>NC_000003.12:125675270-125826786 GCF_000001405.40 Homo sapiens
TCGCTCTGTCGCCCAGGCTGGAGTGCAGTGGCACGATCTCGATCTCGGCTCACTACAAGCTCCGCCTCCCGGGTTCACGCCCTTCTCCTGCCGCAGCCTCCTGAGTAGCTGGGACTACAGGCGCCCACCACCACACCCGGCTAATTTTTTGTATTTTTAGTAGAGACTGGGTTTCACCGTGTTAGCCAGAATGGTCTCGATCTCCTGACCTCATGATCCGCCCGCCTCGGCCTCCCAAAGTGCTGGGATTACAGGCATGAGCCACCGCTCCCGGCCTGTCATGTCTCTAACCGTAGAAGCTCAAGCAAGGCTGTGGCCTCTGCCTCTGGCTGTGCTCTAAAGAACTGTTTCTTTCTGTTTGTTGTAAGCCATGAACCAAGTTGTTGTGAACATAAAAACCAAATGTGGAGGCCTTTCTCCTCTGCAAGGAAATAGTACACCTGATATTACTTAAACAAGCAAGTGATAAGGCTTACCTGACATGCTGAAAAATGACATGTTGGGGATTTTACTACAAGAAACAAAATACATAATTGGCAGAAATGTGGCATTTGCTAAAAAAAATGGCTTGAATTCTTTCCATCTGCTACACTGATTTTCTTCACACATCACCAAAATCATAAAGCAAATCCAGCTCTGAGCAGTTGAAATATAGAAACAAGGGTGACAAGAGAGCAGGCCGAAGGAGCTCAGTGACTCAGAGATTAGCCACTGCCATCTCACTGCTGGGACCCTCGGCATCATGGAATGTGGCATGATGGCCATCCTGTGGCAGTTTCTAAGCCACCCAAAGAGGTAATGCCGCCTGTCAACATTCAGAGCATTACCTCAAGGAGGCTGCACCATGGCTGAGCCTAAAATAAAACACTGCTGTTTGCGACCCTCTGTTGTTGCTTGCTGGGAGACTCAGAGTAAATTTGCATCCAAAGCCTGCAACAAGCTTGTTTCCTTAATATAATATATACCACATGTTTTCATATCATAATTTTAGTCTTTATCATAAAATAATTTTTAAAAAATATTCTATCTTCAAAGAAAATTGTAAAGGACCTGTGGGGGAACCTAAAATTTGGGACTTTGAATGTCATTAGAACTTAGACAGATGTACCCTTTGAGCAGATTATGCAATGATAACTTACATTTAATTATTTTATGACTGCTTCTATTTGAACAAACATATATCATTTTCTGCTCATGTTTTGAATTTTTAATGCAAAGAACCTGATCTAAAGCATTGTGAGTTTTCTTTTCTTTTCTTTTTTTTTTGAGACAGAGTTTCACTCTGTTGCCCAGGCTAGAGTGCAGTGGCATGATCTCAGCTCACTGCAACCTCTGCCTCTACAGTTCAAGCGATTCTCCTGCCTCAGCCTCCTGAGTAGCTGGGATTACAGGTGTATGCTACCAAGCCTGGCTACTTTTTGTATTTTTAGTAGAGATGGGGTTTCACCATGTTGGCCAGGTTGGTCTCGAACTCCTGGCCTCAAGTCATTCACCTGCCTTGGCCTCCCAAAGTGCTGGGATTACAGGCGTGAGCCACCACACCTGGCCGTGAGTTTTCAATTACTTGCTTAACATCTATAAATGTTGTTGGTTTACAAAATAGATAACTGATGGGAAATACATAACCTTATAGGAAAGTAATTTGGGGGCAGTGTTAATTATAGATGCGTTGGATAAGAAGATCTGTTAGGTAGTAAAGCCCTTTAAAAAGGATAAATTGGTTAAAAGTCCCTATCATGGGTTTTTGGGGACTCTTCAGTACTCCTCTGTGGATTCACTCTGGGGCCCACTAGCATTTATAATGCTGGTAGCAGGGAATAAAGCTCAGGATATCCACTGTCTTCAAACTCTGTAGAGTCTTCAAGATTGTGTATCTATCTGTGAGTCACAAAGTGTTTGATAAGCTGAGTGTGCAGGACTGATTAGAAGAGGGACTCTTTGTATTGAGGGTGTTCACAGTATCATATTTCTTAGTAGAAATAGAATCTGAGAAGTCGTTGAGTTCGGGAAAACATGTATGAATCAATAAAACCATGAGGATAAACAGGCACAACAAGAAGGTAGAAACTGTTGAATGTTTATATTTTTGTAGTCACAGAAATGAAATGAGCCAAAAACATAGAATTTAAACAAATAGAGTTGACATCTCAGTAACAGAAAAAGTGCATGCACCATTTCTGGTTGTACTGAAAATAAGATGCCTGTTTTAATGCTAATGTAATTATAATGAAAATAAAACATGCAAATGAAGGCAAGAGTACTTGGAGTAACTGGAAAGAGGAATCAGTTTGCTCTATTTGGTAGAAAGGCTAGAAAGAGAGTGAGAAGGATTTATCCACAGAAGAAAGATGAGGTTGGCTGGGCGCGGTGGCTCACGCCTGTAATCTCAGCACTTTGGGAGGCCCAGGCAGGCTGATCACAAGGTCAGGAGTTTGAGACCAGCCTGGCCAGCATGGTGAAACCCCATCTCTACTAAAAATACAAAAAATTAGCTGGGCATGGTGGCGCATGCCTGTAATCCCAGCTAATTTCAGAATCGAAGGGCCAGGCATCCAGGCCAGGGTGGCAGGGCACCCACACACACACAGGTGGCCTATGCAACGCGGCCCCCAGCGGGTGTCACCCTCCTCCCTCGTCGGTTGCCTTCACCCACACCGGGGCATAGGGAATGGCGGGAGGCTGAGGCAGGAGAATTGCTTGAACCCGGGAGGTAGAGGTTGCCTTATATCAAATGGTGTAGTATTTGATATAACCTATGCACATCATCCTGTAACTTTAAATCATCTGTAGATTGCCAACAATACATAATACTATGTAAATGGTAAGTTACAGTTATATTGTATTGTTTAGGAAATAATAACAATAGAAAGTCTTTACATGTTCAGCACAGTTACAACCATCCTTTTTTCCCAAATAGTTTCAACCCAAGGTTAGTTGAATCTATGGATACAGAAACCATGGATGTGGAGGGCCAACTGTGTATACACATATACATACACATATACACATCCCACATTGCATGTCTGTATCAAAACATCTCATGTCCCCCATAAATTTATATACCTACTGTGTACCCACAAAACTTAAAAATAAAAAATTTTAAAAATAAAAAAAGAGAATTAAAAAAAAAGATACATTTGAAACAGTTCATTGAGGTCAAGGGCATTTTTTTTTTCTTGAGCTGGAGTCTCACTGTTGTTGTCCAGGCTGGAGTGCAATGGTGCGATCTCGGCTCATTGCAACCTCCGTCTCCCAGGTTCAAGGGATTCTCCTGCCCCAGCGTCCTGAGTAGCTGGGATTACCGGTGCCAGCCACCACGCCCAGCTAATTTTTTTGTAATTTTAGTAGAGACGGGGTTTTGTCATGTTCTCCAGGCTGGTCTCGAACTGCTGACCTCAGGTGATCCACCCACCTCGGCCTTCCGAAGTGTGGAATTACAGGCATGTGCCTCTGTGCCAGGTCAAGGGCATTTTTAAAGAGCTATTAAACTCTACTGCTGATTACTTGCTTCTTCCCTCAATACCATTAATAACCTCATAATTCAACATAGCTCTAGATGACCGCCTGCAGCTCATTATAAACCCATTAAAGAAAACCCATTCCATGGCAGAGCTTGCCTTTCAATGAGAACTGGCCCTTTTATATAAATACTCTATCTTCTGTATACTTTTTGGTAAAGTTTCAGAGGACTCTTTCTGTGAAAAGCTATCTCCACTAAATTTTTCCTAAATGTAATAATTATCGGTGAACATTGAAATAGCCACCACATCTGCTTCAATTGGTGTCATAAATGTATTTAATATGGTTGCTGCTTTGGCTTCCATTTTCAGGCCTGGCATAAGTTGTTTGAAATCCAGTGTGCCTCATCTCCTTTTGCCTAGTTACAACTTTGTCCACCTCTGTGGTTGTTTGCCATATACCCTGTTTGGTCTTCATCCCACTGACCCTAAACCCGACACTCTCCACAACTGCTGACCATGATAAAACCTAATGGTCAAGACCAGGGTCGTGGAAATAAGTTTATCTTCACATGTGTTTTCTGTAAGCCAGCCAATCTCCAACACCTTGCAGGAAAGCCCAAGGGATAATGCCCATGGACCTTGTTAAAGGATAGTCCTGAAGGTCCTTTCTCTCTTTCCCCACCTGCTGGTGGAGCTCTCTGTTACTTCTAGACTTCCCTCCTTTTGGCTTCTCAGTGAGCAGCAGTGACAGCAGGAACAATCCCTCGGCAAGGGCCACCTGTTGTGCACCCATGGGGAGACACTTGGGGAGAAGGTGGTGGCTCTCGGGTTGCAGTGAAGAATGTCAGCCACTAGCGTGGTTTAGAGACCTAACAAGCAGAGAAATAAAGTTTCAGTACAGAATGGTTGGATTCATCAAAAAGATGCTGTAAATGATGATTTGGAGCCACACAAGTAGCCAGACAAATCAGAGTGACAGCCCTCCATCCATGGTCAGAGCCATGCATGCCTGTCACTATGCCCCATCCTCTGAATTTCCATATTCCCCTGGTCCATGGGCCACAGGTTTACACTCGGGTATCAGGTAAATACCCAGGTCCCCAGTTGACACCAGGATCCAGGTGGACACCCAGGCTCCAGGTGAACATCAGGCCCCAGGTAGATGCTGGACTCCAGTAGACATCAGGCCCCAAGTAAACACCCATGATTCAGGGGAACAAAAGGCCCCAGGTGAACACCAGACTCTGGGTGGATATCAGACCCCAGGTGGAAACCAGGCCCTAGGTGGACACCTAAGTTCCGGGTTACATCAGGCCCCAAGTGAACACCAGGCCCTAGGTGGACATCAGGCTGTAGCTGGACACAAGGACCCAGGTGAACTTCAAGTCCCAGAAGAATATCAGGCCCCAGGTGGATGCCTAGGCCCCAGGTGTACGTCCGGCCCTAGATGGGCCCCAGGCCTCAGGTAGATACCTAGGCACCTGGTGAACATCAGGCCCCAGGTTGATACCCAGCCCCAGAAGGAAGCCCAGGCCCCAGCCACACATCAGGTTCCACATGGACACCCAGGCCCCAGGTGAATATCAGGACTCAGGTGAACACCAAGCCCCAGGTAGACATCAGGCACCAAGTGGACATTTGGCGCCAGGTGGACATCCCAAGAGGCACCTCAAGCCCCAGGATGATGCCCAGGCCCCGGGTACACACCAGACCCAAGAGAACTCCAGTCCCCATCTGAACATCTGGTCCTAGGTAGATATCGGGCCCCAGGTCAATACTAATTCCTAAGTGGATACCTACGCCCAAGTTTGACATCAGGCCCAAGGTGGATACCCTGTCACCAGGGGCCATCAGGCTCAAGGCAGATGCCAGGACTCTGGTGGACAATAGGCCCCAGGTGAACATCAGGCTTCAGGTGAACACCAGCCCCAGGCTGACACCATGAACTAGGTGGTCAACATTAGACCTCAAGCAGACAACCATGCCCCAGGTAAATACCCAGCCTCAATTTGACATAGGCCCAAGGAGGACACTGGACTGTAGGTGAACATCAAGCCCTCGGTTGACACTCATGCTCCAGGTAGACACAAGGCCCCATGTTCATACCTAGTCTGCAGATGTATGTCAGACCCCAGGTGGACACCAGGCCCAAGGTGTATACCAGTCCTGAGGTGGACATAAGGTCCCAGGTAGACATCAAGCTCCAGATTGACATCTGACACAAGGTGGACATCAGGCCCCAGATGGATACCCAGTCCCGAGGTGGACATCAGGGCCCGGGGTGATAAAAGGACGTCAGACCTGAAGTGGACACCTAGGCCCCAGGTCAATACCCAGGTCCCAAGTGGACACCAGGCACTAGATGGACATCGTGCCCAAGGTAGGCATCAGGCCCCAAGTGGATATCAAACCTAGCCCAGCTGGAGATGTGCATGACACATTGTTAGCCCTCAATGGATCTGAGCAAGCATGACAAGTCTCAGCGTCATGACAGCAGCAGCCCTGCTGAGGACAGGGCTCCCATCCCTACTGCCAGTGCTGCCTGGCCTGAGCCTCCCTGTGCTTCCTCCACAGGGCAGCCCATCCAGTATGCTCGCTCCACCTGCGAGGCCGGCGTGGCTGAGCTCCACATCCAGGATGCCCTGCCGGAGGACCATGGCACCTACACCTGCCTGGCTGAGAATGCCTTGGGGCAGGTGTCCTGTAGCGCCCGGGTCACCGTCCGTGGTAGGAGCCTCTGGTCACCCGAGTAGAAGCACCTTTCCTGCAGACACTTCTGCTTTGGAAGAAGGGCACATTTGTAGAAAATGGTATCATGAGCTAAAATCCAGGGAGCAGAGGTGCACATGGCACTACTCCACACCACTGGCAGCGGCAGGTGCCGTGACAGAGGAGTGGCTGCTGCAACCTCTTAGGGACAGAGGAGAGGGTCCTTAAAAAGTGCTGCACCTGCAGGTAGGAAGTGAGGGAGATGACCTCCAGGAGTTCACAGCGACAAGGGTGTCATCAGAGGTGGCCTTTTCCTCACCCCCTCTCTCCACTGGGGCCATGGAAAGGTATGGGGGAAAGAGATAGGGCTCCCTTAGCTCCAGAAGCTCCAGGTCTGGTCAGAAGAAAACCTCGCACACTACAAAAGGACTTGGGAGAGCACTCACGTATTCCCTGAGCAGTCAGTGGCCTCCCAGTGACCCCTTACATGCTGGGGGACCCTGGGTCACAGAGTGCACACTGAGGCTTCCAGAGGGTCACAGGTTGTCCCCTTTCTGCCCCCTTTCTACTCACGGGCCCAGGCTTGTTTTTACACATCAGCAGCCTGGTCTCCAGTAATCTGATTATCATGGTCATCCATTCATCAGCCAAGCACTTAGTCCCTGGGAATTGCAGGGAGCCACAGACTCAAGACAGATCTGTCTGGGCTGTGGTATCAGCAGGCCTGGTGACAGTTCCCACGGAAGTGCTTCTTGGGTCCAGGGCTTTCAGGTAAGCCTGATCCCACCATCACCCTGAGCCTACGCCCCCGGCTCCTGTGCATGACTGGGTCCTCTGGTGCTAGCACTGAGTGCAGCGTGACTGGTCTCCCATCAGACAAGCAGGAGGATACATCTCTCCATTCCCTGGGGCTCAGGCCTGTCAGGAACATCTCCGTGTTGTATGAGTAGCCACTGTCTGGGAGGCTGCAGGAGGAAGTTTCGCAGAAAAGGAAAGGGGAAGAAACATTTGTGGCTTACTGTGTTAAATACTTTCACCTCACCCGTATTCTCTCACTGAGACCTCAGTAGCCTAGGGGACAAGGATGCTGTCCTGATTTCAGATGGAAGGCTCTGGAAGTCTCAGGAAGTGAATGTAACTTGCCTAAGCACATCACACTAGTCTGCAAATCTGGACCCTGGAGCCCACAGCCTGTGACTTTCAAGTCTGCACTCATTCCTATGCCCTGACCTTTTTCAGAGGGCACGTCCCCTGGCCCAAAGGGGAAGACTGGCCACTGTGGGCTGGGCAGTGTCAGTCCCTTAGGGATGAAGGAACTGGCACTGATGGAGAATGTGGCCGAGCCTGGCTCCGTGAAGCTCTCTGCCAGGAGTGAGCATGCTCTCTGGGTGCTCTAACTGAAGAGATGCCTCAGCATAGAGTCGTTATTGGGAAACTGGTCCACCTCTTCCTTCCAGGAAACCTATCACACTGGGCTCAGAGCCCAACTCTGGCCTCTGGGAATTTGCAGCCAGATTCTGGTTTACAAACTTACTCATTTATCCTCATAGTTCTAACTTCATGACTCCCTGGGAGCCAGGTGGGGAGCTCAGGAAATTGTGATAATGAGATTTCAGAGGAAACCTGAACTGCTGAGAACCTTGTCTCTGAGGGTCAGGGAGCAGGACTCACCTTCCACCTGGGGGCTCTTCTTGGAGGCCAGCATGGCCAACCCGAGTCGAGTAAGGGGCAGCAAGAGTCAGAATGCTACACGTAGAGCCACATGGCTCAGCCCTCTGTTTTCTGAGACTCTCCCTCCACAGCCACAGCCAAGGGCTAATCCAATGTCTGTCCTGGCTTGCCTGTGTTTAGATTGGATTAGAGTGACCCAGCTGAGCTAAGAGTCCCCTGGAGGTGGGAGTCCCAGGCGAAAGATCAAGAACTCTTTAGGGCCATTCTCCTGACTCCTGGGCCTGTGGGGGCTGGGGCCTGAAGGATCACCACCCATCCACAAAAAAAAAAAAAAAAAAAAAAAGGCACAGAGAGGTCCCAGGCAAAAACTCTGCCAAGTAAGTTTGGATTTGTTCTGAGAAGAGGCCTGCATGAGAGAACCCCCTCCCAGTGTGGGGGATGTACTGGGCTATAAAGACCAGACAGGCTCAGATACCATAAATGGTGAACAAGGCTGAGAACGCAGCTGCACTCTCAGGCCCGGCAGCATTTGGGCTCTCTTGGCACAGGATTGGAGCAGGGTGAGCCTGGCAGAGTGACACCCCCTGGCATGGTGCCCTGAGACACTCGGGAGGCTCGGGGCTGCTCCCTGCACTGTCCTCCACTGTGGAGTTTTTCTGACTTGATTGGCAGCCCCGTTGGCTCTGGGTCCTTGGGGGACAGCCTGGGCTGGGAGAGATGATCACAGTGGAGGTGTTTGTTCCCTACTGCACTGATGGCTGCTTCACCCCTCCCTTAGCTGTCCAGGTCCAGCCCTCTCTTGCCCTTAGTGTGGCACCAGGCCATGGTGGGGAGCATGGATGTGGAGCCAGCGGCCTGGGTGTGAGTCCTGCTCTGCCACTTACTAGCCCTGCACCCTGGCATTTTAGCATTCCAGACCTCAGCTTCCTCTTGTGTGAAATGGAGATGCTGACAGTCACGGTACTGTGAGGATTAAGTGAATGAATGTGCAAAGTATCCCCAGAGCATAGGATAGCACATACCCTCCATAGGTATGTGCTGTGATTATGATTGTCCAGCAGAGCCCACCTTTAAACAAGATACAATCCTTACAAATGCCAAGACTGAGGAGGGGTTTTCCCAAAGGATCCACTTTGCTACAGTATTGTGTGTTTGTTTGGCCATCAGAAAATCAGAGGAGGGAGATGTCCAGCCAGACACAAGCGATGAACACACGCGCCTGCTTCCAAGGGCTCTGGCCACAAAGTGGCGCCATGGAGCAACGCGTGTCCCTCCAGTTGTCTTCTCTCAGGGGTGGTTGAGGGGCAGCTCTGCTGCAAGCAAGCTTATTCTGAGAGCTCAGCAGATACTGTGCCAAAGGCCAGATGCAGGGGCTCTTTCTCACCTCTCGCCTTTTGCCGATATTTTGCGATCATCGAGATTGCTGGTGCAGCCCTCAAATGCGATTTCTGCAGCCAGCCCTTCATGCTTTCTCTGCCTCCCCTCCTTAGTGACTCTCTTCTTCTCCAAATCCTGGAAACTCCCACAAATATCACTTTCTCTGGGAAGCCTACCCTAATCACCCCAGAATGCGTTCCCTGAACACCGTGTGCTTCTAGTATTACACTTACTTATCAACAAGTCTTTACTGCGCGCCTATACTGATCAGTGCCAGGCATTGTTCTGGGGAAATTGCAGTAGACAGGACAGCTGAGGGCCCTGCCTGCAGGGTGCTTACATTCTGATGGGGATGCCAGCAGCAATCAGCACCTGGCCTCATTTCAAATGCTGGCACGTGCTGTTAAGAACATGAGCAGGTCACAAAGGAATAATTATAAAGAGAAAAAGCCAGTGAGTGGGGTGTGTGAATCGAGGAGGGTGAGAGGGTGTATCTTTAGTGCTGTGAGGAAGCCTCAGAGGTGTCCATGGCCTGGGGAAAGAGAGCTCCAGGCAGGCAGCACAGCAAGTGCAAGGCCCTGAGTCAGGAGCAAGGTTGACTCATTTGAGGAGCAGCAAGATGGCAGCCTCTGTGGCTGCAGCAAAGTAGACGGGGCAGTGTGATAGAAAGTGAGTTCAGAATGCGGGGGCTCACCATGCCAGGCCTCTGGAGGTGAGGAGAAAACAATTTACTCCGTGAAAATTCACTCTTTTTACTCTACTTGCTTAATTATCTTCCTCTCCAGACTGTAAGCTCCCTGCAGGGAGGGACCATATTGTACTGTGTGTAGAGCCAGGCCTGCCTTGGGAGCATGCATTCCCTGAATGGATGAGAGCACAGAGGTTGCCGAACCTCCCCTGCAGTGCAGGGAGGCATTCCTTAGAATTCCTCGCTTTTCTGGGGGCTCAGTGCCCATTAGGGTGTGCAGGAAATCTGCAAATTAACTTCAAGAGTCCCTCAACATGGCTGGGTGCAGTGGCTCATGCCTGTAATCCCAGCACTTTGGGAGGCCAAAGCGGGTGGGTCGCTTGAGTCCAGGAGTTCAAGACCACCCTGGGCAACATGGCGACACACTGTCTCGACAAAAAACACAAAAATTAGCCAGGTGTGGTGGCCCATTCCTCTAGTCCTAGCTACTCAGGAGGCTGAGGCAGGAGGATTGCTTGAGCCTGTGAGGTCGAGACTGCAGTTGCAGTGAGCTGTGATCACACCACTGGACTCCAGCCTGGATGACAGAGCAAGACGCTGTCTCAAAAAAAAAAAAAAAAAAAAAAAGAGTCCCTCAACAAATATTCCTTCTTTCCCCAACACAGGCTAGGGAAAAAAAATTCCCAGATAGTTAACCAAGCAATGAATGTCTTTCCTCCTGACCCAGGATGAGTCTAAAAGATGATTAATTCAAATTCCTGCAGAGCCCAGGAAGATCTGAAATACACTATATATTTCACGCTATTTGGACTGAGTCATTGCTGGGGGCTTCTTTGGGCTAGAATATTTTAAGTTTATTTCCCACTGGAGTATCTCTGTCAAGGCTAAAATTCTTAAGTGTCTAGATTTATTAATAGCCTGCCAGTTGTGCCCATTTGACATAGTTTCTCAGCCTAACAGTTTGTTTATTTAACTGAAACCCTGGTGGGCCTGTTAAAGGCATCAAAGGACATAAAATGTGGGTAAGTTAAAAAGATGAAAAGATGATCTCTAGAATAGATAATAAAATATAACAAGCATATTTATTAGAGTATTTGTTTTGATGCAGAGCTTCTAATGAAGACAACAGGCACCAGTGAAGTCAGCGTTTGCTTGGCGATGAGTAGAGGCACAGTTTGTTTTCAGATTAATACCAGGCACTCTGCGGGGCAGCCTGGAGCCACCTCCTTTGTCTTCCCATGTTATGCACAGGTACTTTGGACACTATACAATCTGTGCAGTTGACATAAGGTATGGACCCCAACCGACTTCCTTAAGATTAAAAACGCTGACAACTTCTTAAATACTTACATTGACTACAGAAAAATATTTTGAAGAAGAATAAATACCAGTTTTAACTTGCCTTTTTTATATATATTAAGAAGCTTAGTTTATTCAAAACATCTGTCCACAAGCCTTTAAACTCTAAGAAGGTGTACACAAATAGCGTGTACACCTACTGTGATATTAAAAGTTATATTTCCATAGGGTATTGCAAATAACATCACAGTGGGTATATACCCACTGTGATATTTGAAGTAATATCTCCCTAAGATATGACAAAAAATATCAAAGTGTGGACCCCGTCTGTGACATCAAAAGTAACATCTCTGTGGATATTCTGAATAATATCACAGGGTGTACACAGCCTGTGACATTAGGAGTAGCATCCCCATAAGATATTCTGAGTAATATCACAGGGTGTACACCCCATGTGACATTAAGGGTAACATCTTCTTAGGATGTTACGAATGACATCACAGGGTGTACGCCCCCTGTGACTTTTAAAGTAACATCCCCCTAGAATATTACGAATAATATCATGGGTGTACACCCCGAGTGACATTAGGAGTAACATCTCCCTAGGATATTATGAAGAATATCACTGGGTGTACACCCTCTGTCATATTGGGAGTAACATCCTTCTATGATATATGAATAATATCACAAGGTGTACACACGCTGTGATATTCAGAGAGATATCTCCCTAGGATATAAGGTATCATATCACAGAATGTACACGCATGGTGTACACCCACTGTGATATTAGAAGCAATATCTCCCTATGATAGTATGAGAAATATCAAAGGGAGTACACTCTCTGTGATATTAGATGTAATGTTTACTATGGATATTACAAATAATATCACAGGGTGTACACACATGAGGTACACGCACTGTGGTATTATTCATATTGTCTTAGAGAGACAAAACTCTCTAATATAACACAGAGAGCTATAACTCTGTAATATCTCTGAGATATTACAAATAATATCACAGTGAATGTACACCCACTGTAGATTTACAGTAATATCTCCCTATAAGACTACAAATAGTATCAAAGGGTGTACACCCCCTGTGACCTTAGGAGTAACATCCTTCTGGATATCAGGAATAATATCATAAGGCATACCCACTCTGTGACATTTTGTACACCCTTTGTGACATTAAAAGTCACATCCCCCTCGTATATTACGAATAATATCAATGGCAGTTGACGCACACGGTGTACACATCCTGTTACATTAGGCGTAATCTTTTTCTGTGATTTATGAATAATATCATAGAAGGTGTACACATATGGTGTACACTCCAGGTGACATTAGGAGCAACATTCCCCCAAGATATTAGAAATAATATTACCAGGGTTGCATACACATGGTGTACTGTCCCTGTGACATTAGCAGCAACATTCCCCTAGAATATTACGAATAACATCAGAGGGGGAGTACACATATAATGTACGCACCTTGTAAAATTAGGAGTAGCATCTCCCTACAATGTTATGAATAATATCACAGAATGTGTACACACATGGCGTATACCCCATGTGATGTTAAGAGTTACATCCTCCTAGTATGTTAGGAATAATACCACAAAGGTGTTCGCACATGGTTAACATCATATGGAATGTTAGGATTAACATCCCTCAAGAATATTACAAACAACATCACAGGGGCTGTGCACACATGGTGCACATGCCCTGTGGTGTTAAGAGTACATTTCCCTGACACATTACGAGTAATATCACAGAGTATACACCTTCTGTGACATTTGGAGTAACTCCCCTAGGATAGTATGAATAATACCACAGGGTGTACATCCCCTGTGACCTGAGGAGTAACATCTTTCTAGGATATTGTGAATAATATCACAAGATGCACAGCCCCTGTGACACGAGGAGTAACATCCACCTAGGATATTATGAATAATATCACAGGGAGTACACCCCGTGTGACAGTAGAAGTAACCTCAGCCAAGGATATAAGGAACAAATACAGAGGCTGCACAAGTGTTGTGACATTAGCAGTAACATCCATTTAGGATATTACGAATATTATCACAGTGTGAATACCCCCTGTGATATTAGGAGTAACATCTCCCTACAATATTGGGAGCCATGTCATACGGTGTACACCCCCCATGACATTAGAGGTAACATTACCTTAGGATATTATGAATAATATTACAAGGTGTACAGCCCCTGTGATATTAGGAGTAACATTTCCATAAAATATTAGGAATAATATCACTGTTTGTACACTACGGGTGACATTAGGAGTAGCGGACCCCAAAACTATTATGAATAACTTCACAGGGTGTACACCCTCTGTGACATTGTGAGTAACTCCTTCCTACGATATTACTAATAAGATCAAGGGGTGTACACACCCTATGACCTTAAGATAACATCCCGTTAGGATATTTGAAATAATATCCCAGGGTGTACACCCCATGTGACATTGCGAGTAACAGCTTCCTAGGATATTATGAATAAGATCCCAGGGTTGACACACCCTGTGATTTTAAAAGTAAAATCCCCCTAGAATAGTACTAATAATAACACAGGGTATACACCCCTGTGATGCTAGGAGTAACATCCTCTCAGGATATTTCAAATAATATCAGAAGGTGTACACACACGGTGACATTAGTAGTAATATCCCGCTAGTGTGAATACTATCACAGGGTATACGCACCTGTGACTTTAGGAGTAATATCCCCCTGAAATATTCTGAATAATATCACAGGGCATACACCTCCTGTGACTTTAGGAGTATCATCCTGCTAAAGTACTAAGAATAATGCCCCAGGGGGTTAGCCTGTGTAATATCACAGGGTGTACACCCCCTGTGACATTAGGAGTACATCTTTCTAGAACATCATGAGTAATATCACAATGTGTACACCATTTGTGACATTAAAAGTAAAATCCCGCTAAGATATTCTGAATAATGTCACAGGGAGTACACCCCATGTGACATAGGAGGAATAACCCATGAGGATATAAGAAAGAGGGTGTACACATATTGTGACATTAGTAGTAACATCCCGCTAGGATGTTACAAATAATATCACAAGGTGTACACACCGGGTGACATTAATTTATATCACATTCCCCTAGAATATGACCCATAACATTACAGGGTGTAGAACACCTGTGATTTATGAGTAACATTTCTATAGAATATTACAAGTAGTATCCTTCGGTGTGCACTCCGTGTGACATTAGGAGTAACATCCCACGAAACTGTGATGAATAATTTCAAAAGGTGCACACCCTCTGTGACATTAAAAGTAACATCTCGCTAGGATATTATGAATAATATCACAGGGTATATACAGCCCCTGTGACATGAGGAGTAATGTCTCTTTAGGATATCACGAATAATATATCAAGATGTACGCACCCTGTGACATTAGGTGTAATATCCGTCTAGGAGACTGCAAATACTATCATAGTGAACACAACCCCTGTGACAATAGGAGTAACATCCCCGTAGGATGTTATGAATAATATCACAAGGTGCACACACATTGTGACTTCAGTGCTAATATCCCTCTCATATACTGTGAATAATATCACAGGGTGTACACCCCTGTGATATTACATTAGGAATAACATCTCCCTAAAATATTATGAATAATATCATAGGGGGTACACAGGCCTTTGGTTTAGGAGTAATATTCCCATAGGATATTACTAATAATATCACAGTGTGTACACTCACTGTGATATTAGGAGTACCATTTCCCAAGGATATTATGAATAATATCACAGTAGGTGTTCACACATGATGTGTACAACATGTGTGTACACCCAATGTGATAGTTGAAGTAATATGTCCCTGGGATCTTACGAATAATATCAAAAGGTGTACACCCTATGTGACATTAAGAGTAACATCCCTTTTGGAGATTCTGAATGTTATCACAGGGTGTGATATTAGGAGTGTGATATGAGGAGTAACCTCTTCCTAGGATAACCCGTGATAGTAGGAGTAACCTCTTCCTAGGATATTACGGATAACATCACAGGGTGTAAAACCCTGTGACTTTAAATGTAACACCCCCCTAGAATATTATGAATAATATAACAGGGTGTACACCCCCTGTGACATTAGGAGTAACATCTCCCTAGGATATTACAAATAATGTCACTGGGGGCACACCCTCTGTGATATTAGCAGCAACATCTTTCTAGGATATTATGAATTATATCACAGGGTGTAAACTCACTGTGATATTAGAAGGAATATCTCCCTAGGATATAAGCTATCATATCACAAGAATGTACACACATGGTGTACACCCACTGTGTTATTAGCAGCAATATCTCCCTATGATATTATGAAAAATATCACGGGGTGTACTCTCTGGTGGGTTACTAGAAGTAATGTTTACCATGAATATTACAAATAATATCACAAGGTGTACACACATGGGGTACACCCACTGTGATATTAGGAGTTATATCTCTCAAAGATATTACAAATAATATCCCAGTGGGGGTACCCCATGTGTGTACACCCACTGTGATATTTACAGTAACATCTCTCTATAAGATTACAAATAATATCGAGAGGGGACACCCCCTGTGACATTAGGAGAAACATCCACCGACAATATTGGGAACAATATCACACGGTGTACACCCCTGTAACGTTAGGAGTAACAACACCCTGAATATTGCTAATAATATCACAAGGTGTACACGCATTGTGACATTAGTAGTAATATCTTGCTAACATATTTTCAAGAATATCACAGAAGGAACACACCTGTGACTTTAAGAGTAACATTTCTCTAGAATAGTAAGAATAATATGATGGGGTGTACACCCCCTGTGACATTAGGAGTATCATCTCCCTGGAATATTACAAATAATGTCACAGGGGATTATCTAGTGTGACAATAGGAGTATACACCTCTGGGAAATTATGAATACTAACACAGGGTGTACACCCCTGTGACATTAGGAGAAACATCTTTCTAGAATATCACGAATAATATCACTATGTGTACACACACTGTGTCATTAAAAGTAAAATTGCCCTAGGATATTATGAAATAGAACACAGGGAGTACACCCCGTGTGACATTAGAAGTACATCCCCCGAGGACATAACGAATAATATCAGAGAATGCACCTGCCTTGGACATCAGTAGTAACATCTCTTCAGGATAACACGATAATATCAAAGGGTGTACACACATTGTGAAATTAGTAGTGAACTCCTGCTAGGATATTACGAATTTCATGACAGGGTCTACACGCCCTGTGACATTACTAGGAAGGTTTTCCCAGAATATTATGAAGAATATTAAAGGGTGTACAGGACCTGTGATTTATGAGTAACATTTTGATAGAATATTGCACGTAGTATCACTGTGTGTACACCCCGTATGACATTAGGGTAACATCCCACAAAACTATAACGAATAATTTCACAAGTTGTACACCCTCTGTGATATGAAAAGTAACATTTCCCTAGAATATGACGGTAATATCACAGCGTGTACAACCTCTGTGATATGAGAAGTGACATCTGATAAGGATAATGAGAGTAATTTGACAACGTGTACAAACCCTGTGACATAAGGAGTGACATCCCACTAGGATACTATGAACAATATCAAAAAGAATATACCCCGACTGACGATAAAAGTAACCTCCCCTTAGGAGATTAGGAATAACACCACAAGTTGTACACACATTGTGACACACTTATTAGTGTCCCGCTAGGCTATTGGAAATAATATCACAGTGCGTAGAGTCCTGTGACATCAGAATTAACATTCCACGCAATATTACGAATAACATCGCAGGGTGAATACTCCTGTGACTTTAGTAATGGCATTTTGCTAGAATATGGAAAATAATGTCCCAGGGTGTTAATCAAGTGTGGCAGAAGAGAAAAGACTCAAGGAGTAATAGAATAATATCTCCACCCCTCTCCCCCCCTGGATATTATGATCCACATCACAGGGGCCCAGCGCCCCCAGCGATGCGGGAAGTAATATCCCACCCCTCTCCCCCCCTGGATATTACGATCCACATCTCAGGGGTGCGGGCGCCCCCGCGATGCGGGGAGTAATATCCTCACCTCTCTGCTCCCCTGGATGTTGCGGTCCACGGTGGTCACACAGCGTGTTTACCTTATTGGCAGTAATATCTTCTCCTTCTCTGGAAATTACCATCTATATCACAGTCGGGGGTACATCCTCTGCACTATTTGCAATAATAGCATCCTCTTCCCCATGGATATTAAGAACAATATTACAGGACTGTTTTTACCCCCAGCGGCATTGGGTGTAGTATCATCCTCTCCCACGTTGAAATTAGGAACAATATAACTGGGGGCGTGTCCACCCCATGCCATATTGAAAGTAACATCTTCCGCTTCTCGCCTGGATCATGGGAACAATATGACTGGGGTGGTGTACACTTTCTGCGGTATTGGGAGTAATATCATCCTCTCCGCCTTGGAATATTAGGGACAATATCACAGGGGGGCTCTACACACCCGGCGCTATTAAGAAGAATATTGTCCTCTCCCGTCCTGCTTATTAGGAAAAATATCACAGAGTGGGTGTACACCTCCTGCGATATGGGGGGTAATATCCTCTTCTTCTTCTGGATAGTAGCAACAATATCACACGGGTTTGTACACTTTCTGTGATATTGGGAGTAATATCAACCTCTCGGCCTTTGAATATTGAGAACAATATCACAGAATGGATGTGCAACCCCTGCGATATTGGGAGTAATATCAGCCTCTCCTCCATGGATATTAGGAATAATATCCCAGGGTGGGTGTACACCTCCTGCTGTATGGGGAGTCATATCGTCCTCTCCCTTCCTGGCTATTAGGAACAATATCACAGGGTGGCTGTACACAACCTGCGATATTGGGGGTAATATCACCCTCTCCCCGTCCGGATATTAGGAACAATATCACAGAAG
Source organism: Homo sapiens (assembly GCF_000001405.40). Taxonomy (NCBI): domain Eukaryota; kingdom Metazoa; phylum Chordata; class Mammalia; order Primates; family Hominidae; genus Homo; species Homo sapiens. The sequence continues at coordinate 125,693,464 of NC_000003.12, forward strand.
TTGTGTACACTTCCTGCGATACTGGGAGTAATAGCATTCTCTTCTTCCGTGAATATTAGGAGCAATATCACCGGGTGGATGTACACCCACTGCTATACTGGGAGTAACGTCATACTCCACCCCCTGGATGTTATATTCGGATGAATATCACCGCGTAGGTGTACACCTATTGCGATATTGAACGTAATATCATGCTCTCTCCCTCCCTGGACATTAGGAACAATATCACAGGTGGGTGTACACCCACTGAGGTATTAGACGTAGTATGAGTATTAATTATTACTCATTTATTAACATGAATATGAATTACCAATATTAATATTAAGAAATAACTGCTAATAAAATTTTTCATATTATTAATATTAATATAAATTATTAGGAGCTAATAGTGTTTTCTAATGATAAGATCAGTATCAGTTATTAATATCAGGTGTTATTAATCATTAATATTAATCATTTATTGTTATCATTAGTATAACTATTTAATATTAATTATCATTATCTTTGGTATTGATGTTTAAAATTATATTATCAGTTATTAATATTGATAATTATTAGTGTCAATTAATAATTGATATTAATTGCGATAAGAAATATTGCGACGTTCCTCACAATATCGCAGAAAATATACACCCCCCAGTGATGTTCTTCCTGATAGCCAGGGTAGACGGTGACATTACTTCATCCATCACGACCCTTTCACGTGGAACCCCTTAGAGTTTTAAGCCCTTAAAGGGGCCAGGAACTCTCTTTCTTAGGGTAGCTGGGCTCTTAAGATGGGAGTCTGCCGACGCTCCTCCTGGCCGAATAAAAAACCCTCTTCTTTCTTTAATGGGCTGTCTGAGAAGTTTTCCTGCTCCATTTCTTGGTTCCCTGACCAGGAATCGAGCATGGGTAGCAGTGGTGAGAGGTCTGAATCCTAACCGATAGACCACCAGGGGAACTTAGAACCTTGTGCGAAATAGATTGCCTACCATTAGAAGTGGGTTGGCCATCAGAAGGAAGCCTGGACAGGTCCCTTGTTTCTAAGGTGTGGCACAAGGTAACTGGTAAAGGATACCTAGAGCAGTTCCCATACATAGACACTTGGTGACAGCTGGTGCTAGACCCCCCACAGTGGCTAAGAGGGCAGGCAGCAGCAATACTAGTAGCAAAGGGACAGATAGCTAAGGAACGATCCCGCTCCACCCGCCCAGGGAAATCAACTCCTGAAGTTCTCTTCGACCCAACATCAGAAGATCCATTGCAGGAGATGGCACCAGACATCCCAGTGGTGCTCTACCCTTACCAGGGCAAGAGGCTCCCCACTCTTGAGCCCACAGTGCTTGCCTCCGCGAGACAAGCATATCCCTAGGCCCCCCAGAGTAGACAAGAGAGGAGGTGAAGACTCCGGAGAAACCCCTCCCTTGGCAGCTCGTTTACGACCCAAAACGGGGATACAAATGCCCCTGAGAGAGCAGCGGTATCCTAGGATAGATGAGATGGTCACGTGGTGGAGAGGCGTGTTTTTGTTTACCAGCCCTTCACCTCTGCCGACCTTCTCAACTGGAAAAACAACACCCCGTCCTATACCGAAAAGCCACAAGCTCTAATTGATTTGCTCCAAACTATTATCCAGACCCACAATGCCACCTGGGCTGATTGCCAGCAGTTGCTCATGTTCCTCTACAGCAGAGATGAAAGGCGGAGAGTGCTCCAAGCAACAACTAAGTGGCTAGAGGAACATGCACCAGCTGATTATCAAAACCCCTAAGAGTGTGTAAGGACCCAGTTACCAGGACCCGATCCCCAGTGGTACCCACATGAAAGAGAGGATATGCAAAGGCTAAATCGAGACAGGGAAGCTCTCTTGGAAGGATTCAAGAGGGGAGCTCAGAAGGCCACAAACGTTAACAAGGTCTCTGAGGTCATTCAGGGAAAGAAGAAAGTCCAGCACAATTCTACCAGAGACTGTGTGAGGCCTATCTTATGTATAATCCCTTTGATCCTGATAGCCCTGAAATCAGCGCATGATTAACATGGCTTTAGTCCATCAAAGCGCAGAAGACATGAGAAGAAAACTGCAGAAACAGGCTGGGCTTGCAAGGATGAATCCATCACAATTACTAGAAATAGCTAGCCAGGTGTTTGTAAACAGGGATGCAGTAAGCCCTAAGGAAAACAGCAAAGAGAAGGGAGGTCAGGGCCGGCAAAATACTGACCTGTTAGCTGCAGCAATCACAGGGGCCCCCCAAAGAGGCAAGGGAAGGGGGGCCCTGGGAAAGAAACTCAGCCTGGCTGTCAGAGTTTGCAGTGTAACCAGTGTGCTTATTGTAAAGAAATAGGACAGTGGAAGAATAAATGCTCTCAGCTCAAAAGAAAACAAGATGACTCAGAACAGGAGGCCCCGGACAAGGAGGAATGGGCCCTGCTCAACCTGGCAGAAGGGTTATTGGACTGAGGGAGAGCGGGCTCAAGCATTCCCAAAGAGCCTCTGGTCAGAATGACAGTCGGGGGTAGAGACATTGATTTTCTTGAAGATAGCGGTGCTGAACATTCACTAGTAACTGCCCTGGTCACCCCCTTATCCAAAAAGACTATTGACGCCATCGGAGCCATGAGGGTTTCAGCAAAGCAAGCTTTCTGCTTGTCTCGGACTTGTACTGTAGGAGGACATAAAGTCATTCATCAGTTTTGGTACATGCCTGACTGTCCCTTGACCTTTTTGGGAAGGAACTTGCTCAGCAAGCTGAGAGCCACTATGTCTTTGACAAAGCATGGCTCTTTGCTGCTAAAGTTACCTGGAACGGGAGTCATTATGACCCTTACAGTCCCCCAAGAGGAGGAATGGAGAATTTTCTTAACTGAGCCAGGCCAAGAGAGAAGACCAGCTCTGGCTAAGTGGTGGCCAAGAGTATGGGCAGAAGACAACCCTCTGGGATTGGCCAGTTAAGACTGGGGCCCAGACGGTGAGGCAAAAACAGGACCCAGTCCCCAGAGAAGTTCTTCAAGGTATCCAGGTCTGTCTCAAGCACCTAAGAACTTTTGAAATTATTGTTCCTTGTTAGTCTCCATGGAACACTCCCCTCCTGCTTGTTCCCAAGCCACGGACCAAGGACTACCGGCCGGTACAGGATTTGCACTTGCTTCATCAAGCTACACTCACTTTACATCCAACAGTACCTAACCCGTCCACATTGTTGGGGTTGCTGCCAGCTGAGGACAGCTGGTTCACTTGCTTGGACCTGAAAGACGCTTTCTTTCCTATCAGATTAGCCCCTGAGAGGCAGAAGCTGTTTGCCTTTCAGTGGGAAGATCCGGAGTCAGGTGTCACTACTCAGTACACTTGGACCAGACTTCCCCAAGGGTTCAAGAACTCCCCCATCATCTTCGGGGAGGCGTTGGCTCAAGACCTCCAGAAGTTTCCCACCAGAGACGTAGGCTGCGTGTTGCTCCAGTAGGTTGATGACCTTCTGCTGGGACACCCCACGGCAGTCGGGTGTGCCACGGGAACGGATGCCCCACACCGGCACCTGGAGGACTGTGGGTATAAGGTGTCCAAGAAGAAAGCTCAGATCTGCCAACAGCAGGTACCTTACTTGGGATTTACTATCTGACAGGGGTTGGAAGGCAGCCCGGGATCAGAAAGAAAGCAGGTCATTTGCAATCTACCGGAGCCTAAGGCCAGAAGGCAGGTGAGAGAATTCTTAGGAGCTGTGGGGTTTTGCAGACTGTGGATCCCAAACTTTGCAGTATTAGCCAAGCCTTTGTATGAGGTCACAAAGGGGGCAGGGATCAGGAAGCTTTGGAATGTGGATCCCAACAACAGCAACTCTTTCATGAGTTAAAGGAAAAACTTCTGGCAGCCCCAGCCCTGGGTCTACCCGATCTGACAAAGCCTTTTCCATTGTATGCGTCAGAGAGAGAAAAGATGTCAGCTGGACTTTGAACCCAAACTGTGGGGCCCTGGCTGAGACTGGTGGCCTACCTCTCTAAACAACTAGATGGGGTTTCTAAAGGATGGCCCCCCTGTTTGAGGGCCTTGGCAGCAACTGCCCTGCTAGTACAAGAAGCAAATAAGCTGACTCTTGGGCAAAACCTGAACATAAAGGCCTCCCGTGCTGTGGTGACTTTAATGAATACTAAAGGACATCATTGGCTAACGGATGCCAGACTCATCAAGTACCAAACTTTGCTCTGTGAGAATCCCCGTATAACCATTGAAGTTTGTAACACCCTACACCCTGCCACCTTGCTCCCGGTATCAGAGAGCACTGTCGAGCCTGATTGTGTAGAAGTGTTGGATTCAGTTGACTCTAGCAGACCTGACCTCTGGGACCAGCCTTGGGCATCAGGAGACTGGGAACTATATGTGTATGGGAGCAGCTTCTTCAACCCCCAAGGAGAGAGAGAGGTGCAGGGTATGCAGTGATAACCCTGGACACTGTTGTTGAAGCCAGATCCTTGCCGCAGGCCTCTGCAGCCCAGAAAGCTGAACTCATTGCTTTCATTCATGCCTTAGAACTCAGTAAGCGTGAGACTGTCAACATTTACACTGATTCTTGGTATGTCTTTTTAACCCTTCAAGTGCATGGAGCGTGATAGAAAAGGGCCTACTGAACTCTGGGGGAAAAGACAGAAAATATCAACAAGAAATCTTGCAATGATTAGAAGCAGTATGGAAACCCCACAAGGTGGCAGTTATGCATTGCAGAGGACACCAGAGAGCTTCCACCTTGCTGGGTTTGGGGAATTCCCCCGCTGACTCAGAGGCTCAAAAAGCAGCATCTGCCCCCTTCCGGGCATCAGTGCTCCCTCAAGCACCTGATCTTGGACCTACTTCTTCTAAAGAAGAAAAGGACTTTCTCCAGGTAGAGGGAAGGACAAGTGATCGAGGAAGGATGGATTCGGTTACCAGATGGGAGACTAGCTGTGCCACAGCTGCTAGGAGCTGCAGTTGTACTGGCTGTGCAAGAAACCACCCATTGAGGTCAGGAGTCACTGGAAAAGTTGTTAGGCTGGTATTTCTACATCTCGCCTCTGTCAGCCCTTGCCAAAACGGTGAGGCAGCGGTGTGTTACCTGCCGACAGCATGATGCGAGGCAAGGTCCAGCCGTTCCGCCCGGCATACAAGCTTATGGAGCAGCCCCCTTTGAAGATCTCCAGGTAGACTTCAGAGAGATGCCAAAGTGTGGAGGTAACAAGTATGTACTAGTTCTTGGGCGTACCTACTCTGGGTGGGTGGAGGCCTATCCAACACGAACTGAGAAAACTCGTGAAGTAACCCCTGTCCTTCTTCGAGATCTGATTCGTAGATTTCGACCGCCCTTATGGATCGGCTCAGACAACGGGCCTGCATTTTTGGCTGCCTTGGTACAGAAGACGGCAAAGGTATTGGGGATCACACGGAAACTGCATGCCGCCTCCCAGCCTCAGAGTTCTGGAAAGGTGGAGCGGATGAATCGGACTATCAAAAATAGTACTGTTGTCTTCCCTGCTGGATATTTAAAACAACACCACAAGGGGCGTCAAACCACCTGCTAAATTTGAGGGAATGTTATCCTCTCCCCACCTCCCCCAGCCCCGGATATTAGAGAAAATAACACAGGGGTGATGTACACCCACTGCTTTATTGGGAGTAGTATCATCCTCTCCCTTCTTGGATATTAGGAACAATATCACACTGTGCTTGTAGGCCTGTCATGAAATTCAATGGAATGTCATCCTGTGCCTCCCTGGATATGATGAACAATATCACGGGGGATGTACAACTTCTGAGATATTGGGAGTGATATCATCTTCTCCCCTCTGGGAGTTAGGGACAATATCACAGGGGTCGTGTACACCCTCTGGGATGTTGGGACTAATATCATCCTCCCGCCCACTGGATATTAAAAACCATATCACAAGGGGCGTGTGCACACACTTTGATATTGGTATGAATACCATCCTCTCCCTCTTTGGATATTCGGTGCCATATTTCAGGTGGGGTATACACCACCTGCAATATTGGAAGTAATATGATTTTCTCCCCCACAGATATCAGAAACAATATCACAGGGGTGTGTCAACAACCCCTGCGATATTTGGAGTAATATCATCGTCTCCCCTCATGAATATTAAGAACAATATCATAGGGGTGGGGGGTGTACAGCCCCTTTCATATTTGATATCATCCTCTTCCACCCTGGATATGAGGAACAATATCAGGAAGGGATGTACAGACCCTGCGATATTTGCTGTCATATAATTGTCTCTCCCGTAGATATTAGGAAAAAAGTCACTGGGGATGTGAACAGCCCTGCGATATTGAGAGTAGTATCATCCTCTCCCCCCTTGTATATTGGGAACAACATCACAGGTGGGGTGTACTGCCTCTGCGATATTGGGAGTAAAATTTTCCTCTCTTCCCCTGGACATTAGGAAGAGTATCAGAGGGGGGAGGGTGTACATTCCCTGCCATATTCAACGTAACCTTATCCTCTCCCTCCCAGGGTATTCAGAACAATATTACAGGAGGGGTGTACACCCTCTGCGATATTGACAGTCATATCATCCTCTTTCGCTCTGGATATTAGGAACAATATCACAGGGTTGTGTACACCCCCTGCGATATTGGGAGTGATATCATCCTCTCTCCCTGGGTATATTAGGAAGAGTATCACAGGGCTGTGTAAACCCCCTGCGGTACTGGGAGTAATACCATTCTCTCTCCCTCTGGATATGAGGAAGATTTTCACAGGGAAGTGTACACCCCCTGCGATATTGGGAGTAATATCATCCTCTCCACCCAGGAAATGACTAACAAGGTCACGGGGGAGTGTACTCCCCCTGCGATATTGGGAGTAATGTCGTCCTCCCCAAAGCTGGAAGTTAGCAACAAGATCACAGAGGGGTGTACACACCCTGTGACATTGGAAGTAATATGATCCTCTCTCCACCTGGATATTGGGAAAGATATTACAGCGCGGGTATACATTTCCTACGCTGTTGGGAGTAATATCATTCTTTTCCTTTCTGGATATTAGGAAGAACATCACAGGGGTGCTGTACAATTACTTCGATATTGGGAGTAATATCATGCTCTATTTTCCTGGATATTGCGCACAAAAACACAAAAGGGTGTACAACCCCTGCGATATTGGGAGTAATAGCATACTTTCCTTCCCTGGATGTTAGAAAACAATATCATCAGGGCTGAACACCCCCCGCGATAATGGGAGTCATATTTACTCTTTCACAGGCCATTTGGAACAATATCACAGGGGGTGTTTACAAACAGGGGTGGTGTACACCCCCTGTGATATTGGGAGTAACATCATTCTCTCCACCTCCGGATATTAAGAACAGTATCCCGGCGGGAGATGGTACACCACCAGTGATATTGGGAATAATGTTATCCTCTCCTTCCCTGGATATTAAGAACAATATCACAGGGGGGTGTACACCTTCTGTGATATTGGAAGCAATATCATCCTCTTACCCGCTGGATATTAGAAAAAATATCACTCATGGTGTACACCCACTGTGATATTAGGAAGAATATTACAGGGTGTACACCCACTCTGACTTTAGGAGAAATAGCTCCCTAAAATATCACAAATAATATCACAAGGTATACAGTAATATCTCCCTAGGATATGACAAATACTATCACAGGGTGTACACCCAGTGTGATAACAGGAGTAATACGTCCCAAGGATACTACCAAGAATATCACAAGGCCGTACACCCACTATGACACAGGGAGTGATATCTCCCTAGGATATTACGAATAACATCACAGAATGTACACCCACGTGTACCCCCACGTGTGCACTCACGGTGATATTAGGAGTAATATCAACCCAGGACATAACCAATAACACCACAGGGAGTAAAGACATGATGTACACCCATGGTGGTGTTATGAGAACTATCTCCCTAGGATAATACCAAGAACATCACAGAGTGTACACACATGGTATACACCCACTGTGGCACTAGGACTAATAACTTTCTAAGATATTACGAATAGCATCAGAGAATATAAACACATGGTGTACACCTAGTGTAACTTTAGGCGTAATTTCTCCCTAGGATATTACGCGTAACATCTCAGTGTGTACACACGTGGCGTACACCCACTGTGACATTAAGGGTAATATCCCCCTAGGATATGACGAGAAACATCACAGGGTGTCCACCCATGGTGTACACGCACTGTGATGTTAGGAAAAATATCTCCCTAGGATATTATGAATAATACCACAGGGTGTAGAGAAACTGTAATATTAGAGGTAATGTCTCTCTAGGATATGATGAATAATATCACAGGGCGTACACCCACTGTGATACGGGGAGCAATATCTCTCTAGGATAGTATGAATAATATCACAGAGTGTACACCCACTGTGATATTAGGAGAAATATCTCTCTGGGATATTATGAATTATATCACAGAGTGTACACACATGGTGTACATCCACTTTGATATTAGGAATAATATCTTCCTAGGATGTTACAAACAACATCGCACAGGGTACACCCACTGGAATATTAGGAATCGTATCTCCCTAGGTGATTACAAATAATATCACAGGGTGTACACCCACTGTGATATTAGGAGTAATATCTTCCTAGGGTACTAAGAATAATTTCACAGTGTGTACACACATGGTGTACACTCACTGTGATATTAGGAGTAATATCTACCGAGTAGATAACAAATAACATCGCAGGGCGTACACCCACTTTGATATTAGCTGTAATATTTTTCTAAGTTGTTACAAATAATATCACAGGGTGTACAAACATGGTGTACACTCACTGTGATATCAGGAGTCGTATCTCCGTAATATATTATGAATAATATCACAGGGTGTACACCCACTGTATTATTAGGAGTAATATCTCTGTAGGATAGTACAATTAATATCACAGGGTGTGCAGCCACTGTGATATTAGGAGCAACATCTTTCTAGGATATTACAGACAATATCACAGGGTGTACGCCCACTCTGATGTCAGGAGCAATATCTCGCTAGGATATCCAAAATAATATCACAGGGTGTGCAATATCTGCCTTCCAGGTTCTAAGGGATTCTCCTGCTTCAGCCTCCCGAGTAGCTAGGGTTACCCGCCACCAGGCCTGGCTATTTTTTTTTTATTTTCACTAGAGACGGGGTTTCACCACGTTGGCCAGGCTGGTCTGGAACTCCTGACCTCAGGTGATCCGTCGGCCTCGGCCGCCCAAAGTGCCGGGATTACAGGTGTGAGCCATGGCGCTCGGCCAAGAGTTATATATTCAATTAATTTGGAAACACATCTCCCATATTTGAGTGTGCATGTACTTTTATGAAGAAATGATGTCAGAAAATGTAAGGAGGATAATAAATATGAAAAGTAACTGGCATGTTTAAAAGTCTTCCGATTAAGAACTCTAAGTTTCGATTTCATTTTTAGATAATGCGGTCCTAGCTCTTGTATCATCCTTTTACATATTCTACATCAAAGGAATTTGTCGCACGGTGTCAGAATAAAACAGAGTGTATTTCACTGCTTCTTAATTTCTTTCAATTAGGCTGAGATCTTTTTCTTAGAGAGAGAAGAGCATCTTCATTGCATTTTATTTTTTCCGAAAAGAGTAGGCCGTATTTTACTGAGATCATGGATTTGTTATATATGACATTTTGGTCTTCTAACATTCTTCAGTAGATTTTCTCCAAAGTAGTATGTACAGAAGGAGTTGAATAGAAAAAAGTAAATCATGTAATAATTCTGAGATTTTTGGGTTTGTCACAGCTGAGAAATATTGCTGACGGTGTATGGTCCTCAAGTGTGAAAATGTTCCTTGTGAATTGCTTGCATCCAAAATATACACACAGCATTAAGGGCTGGTTTTTATCTTTTATTTTTCCAATCCTCTTTTCTTCCCAAGGTGTCCAAGACACACAGAGCCACGGAATCTCACAGGTGTCTGAGAATTCCTCCTTCTGGGACTCTCAGAGGATCCAGAACTGCAGACCATCCTTGCTGGGCTGTCCCTGTCCATGTATCTGGTCACGGTGCTGAGGAACCTGCTCAGCATCCTGGCTGTCAGCTCTGACTCCCACCCCCACACACCCATGTACTTCTTCCTCTCCAACCTGTGCTGGGCTGACATCGGTTTCACCTTGGCCACGGTTCCCAAGATGATTGTGGACATGGGGTCGCATAGCAGAGTCATCTCTTATGGGGGCTGCCTGACACAGATGTCTTTCTTGGTACTTTTTGCATGTATAGTAGACATGTTCCTGACTGTGATGGCTTATGACTGCTTTGTAGCCATCTGTCGCCCTCTGCACTACCCAGTCATCGTGAATCCTCACCTCTGTGTCTTCTTCGTTTTGGTGTCCTTTTTCCTTAGCCTGTTGGATTCCCAGCTGCACAGTTGGATTGTGTTACAATTCACCTTCTTCAAGAATGTGGAAATCTCTAATTTTGTCTGTGAGCCATCTCAACTTCTCAAGCTTGCCTCTTATGACAGCGTCATCAATAGCATATTCATATATTTTGATAATACTATGTTTGGTTTTCTTCCCATTTCAGGGATCCTTTTGTCTTACTATAAAATTGTCCCCTCCATTCTAAGGATTTCATCATCAGATGGGAAGTACAAAGCCTTCTCAGCCTGTGGCTGTCACCTGGCAGTTGTTTGCTTATTTTATGGAACAGGCATTGGCGTGTACCTGACTTCAGCTGTGGCACCACCCCTCAGGAATGGTATGGTGGCGTCAGTGATGTACGCTGTGGTCACCCCCATGCTGAACCCTTTCATCTACAGCCTGAGAAACAGGGACATTCAAAGTGCCCTGTGGAGGGTGTGCAGCAGAACAGTCGAATCTCATGATCTGTTCCATCCTTTTTCTTGTGTGGTTGAGAAAGGGCAACCACATTCAATCCCTACATCTGCAAATCCTGCCCCTTAGTCACATTATTTTTGTGGCTTGATGGCTTTTATTCCTTTCCGCATTTCCTTTGTGAATGTTGCTTTCTTCGTTATGCCTTTAACTGGAATGGGTGAGGATTCTGGGATCCTTTGTTTAGCAGAAACCTCATGACAGAATCCTCTCTACCTAGGCGGCCTCCTTTAGTTTCTGAGCAATAACCCTGTCATCCAGGTGAAATCACAACCATCTTTTTATATACAGGAAGTCCTCACTTCATTTTGGAATTCCCTGAAAATTGACTTTATGGAAGCAATGTACAGCAGGTCCTCCAACACCACTGGTGCGTTCAAAGTCATGTAGTTATAATGTTGGTGAGGAATAAGTGGTTTCACTCTACCTAATTTTGCTTAAAGGTGAAGTTTCCAAAAGACTTTCAAAGATGTTAAGTGAGGACATACTGTACATCAAATTCATATCCTCTTCCAGAGTTCCTGTGGAATTTCTTTATAAACTGCTTCTAGAGAATCTATTTAGGCAGGTTATGTGTAAAGATCCATATCACCTTTCCTCAATCTTGGCTTTGAGTCAAATCACCTGGGGAGCTTACAAATGATGAGGCCTGGGTCTCAATACCTGAGATTCTGATTTCCCTGCACCTGTGTGAGTATGTGGGTTTTTTTTTTTTTTTTTTTTTTTTTTTTTTAAAGCACCAGACGTGGTTCCAATGACGAAGTTTTTAGAGGCATCAAGCTCCAATGAGTAAGAACAGAAGTTAATTGTAATATGATTTCTTCAAATATTATGTTCAAATGCATTGTCCATCAACACCATACAAATGTTTATTATGCTGTTGTTTCTTACCATTTAGCATTTTCTATTTTTTCTTTTTCTTTTTTTTTTTTTCTTTTTGAGGCAGAATTTCACTCTTGTTGCCCAGGCTGGAGTGCAATGGCACGATCTCGGCTCACTGCAACCTCTGCCTCCCGTATTCAAGCGATTCTCCTGTCTCAGCCTTCCAAGTAGCTGAGATTACAGGCATGCGCTACCATGCCTGGCTAATTTTTTTTTTTTTTTTTGGTATTTTTAGTACAGACAGTGGTTCTCTATATTGGTCAGGCTGGTCTTGAACTCCCAACCTCAGGTGATCCGCCCGCTTCCGCCTCCCAATGTTCTGGGATTACAGGCGTGAGTGACCGCGCCCAGCCACCACTTAGCATTTTCATTTTACATTTGTTGAAATTACAAATTTATACACACTTTGATTGCTGCTTTGTTATACGCTTGCATATACATAAGATGGGAAATAGAAAAGAATAAAACGGGCACAGTATCCCTGAAGTTTCACATTCCGAGACATGTTAAAAATATTTGCTTTTTAGAAATTTGTTTCAATTGAGAAACTGTGGTATACACACGCAATGAAGTATTATTCAGCCTAAAAAGGAATAAACAAAATCCTCTCCACTGCAGACAAAATGGATGAGATTGCAGGTCTTTATATTAAGTGAAATAAGCCAGGCACAGAATGACAAATATTTCATATCCTCACTTCCATGTAGGAACAAAAAAGAAAATCTTGGCCAGGTGTGGTGGCTCAGGCCTGTAATCCCAGCACTGTGGGAGGCCGAGTCGCACGGATCACTTGAGGCCCGGAGTTCGAGACCCACCTGGACAACATGGTGAAACCCCATCTCTACTAAAAACACAAACAATTAGCCAGGCGTGGTGACGCGTGCCTGTAGTCTCAGCTACTCGGAGGGCTGAGGCCCAAGAAGCGCTTGAACTCGGGAGGCGGAGGTTGCAGTGAGCCCGGATTGTGCCTGTATACTCCAACCTGGGCAACAGAAAGAGACTCCATCACACACCTACACACAAAAGGAATCTCAGGAAGGTGGAAAGTATAAGGGTGGTTAGCAGACGCTAGGAAGAAAAAGGGTGGGATGGGGAATGAAGAGAAGTGGATAATTGGGTCCCAAAATACAGAAAGATGGAATAAGTGAGTTCTAGTGTTTGATAGTACAGTATGAAAATTTTAGTTCACAAGAATTTCTTGCATATTTCCAGATGCTTTGGTAAGAAGCTTCCTACTTTTCTCATTATGCTGGTTTTTCAGCTGTTCACTTTCTGCTCTCGAAATCATGCTGGATTTTTGTTTTTGGTTTTTTGTTTTGAGAGAGAGTTTCACTCTTGTTGCCCAGGCTGGAGTGTAATGGTGCAATCTTGGCTCACCGCAACCTCTGCCTCCTGGGTTCAAGCGATTCTCCTGCCTCCATCTCCCGAGCAGCTGGGATTACAGGCATGCGGCAGCACACCCAGCTAATGTTGTATTTCTAGTAGAGACGAGGGTTTCTTCCTGTCTGTCAGGCTGGTCTTGAACTCCTGACCTCAGTTGATCCGCCCACCTCGGCCTCCCAAAGTGCTTGGATTACAAGCATGAGCAATGGTGCCTGGCACATGCTGCATCCTTATCCGTTGTCTGTTGTTGTTTGTTTGTTTTGGAGCCCAGAAATAACTTCTCACCTATATGTTCAAATGATTTTTCACATGAGTGCTAAGAAAGTCCATTGATGGAAAAGCAGCCTTTTCAAGAAATGGTGTTGGAGAAACTTGATTTCCACAGGCAGAAGAATGAAGGTGGACTCTATGTCACACCAGGTGCAAAAATTAATACAAACTGGATCAAAGACCTAACCCCAAGTGCTGAAAGTATAATATGCCTAAAAGAAAACATTGGCCACACTTTCATGACATCAGATTGGGCAATGCTTTCTGGGATATGACACCAAAAGTATAGGCAACTAAAGAAAATTATATTCCTTGGATTACATCTAAATGACAGACACTTTTGTGCATCAGCAAACACTGTGAACTGAGTGAAAAGGTAACCCATGGATTAGGAAAAATATTTGCAAATCATATCTGTGAAAAGAGGCTGATATGCATCATATACAAAGAAGAGCTAGAACTAAACAACAAGAAACCCAAAACATCCCATCAACAATGGTCAGAAGACTCGAGTAGACATGTTCCTAAAGAAGATACAGCAATGGCCAATAAGCATCTAAAATGATGTTCAAAATCACTCATCCTAGGGAAGCGCAAATCAAACCAAGAATGTGATACCACACATTTGGATGGATATGATAAACAAACAAGCATTGGTGAAACTAGAGGGAAGTAGGAATGCTCGAATCTGATTGGAGGGAATGTAAAACCGTGAAGGAACAGGGAAATAGTATGGCGTGTACCGGAAAAAGTAGAAACAGGATTATCAGATGTTCCCGCAGTGGCACTTGTGGGTACCTGCCAAAAAGAATTAGAAGGCAGGAGTGGAAGAGAGATTTGCACACCCAAATTCATAGCAGCATTATTCACAACAGCCAAAATGTGGAAGCAACCCAAGGGTTCGTGGACAGATGAATGAAAAAGCACACTTGCAATTCATTCATGCGATGGAAGACTATTCAGCCTTAAAAATGCAGGCACTTCTGGCCGGTGCGGTGGCTCACGCCTGTAATCCCAGCATCTTGGAAGACCGAGGTGGGCGGATCACCTGAGGTCAGGAATTCAAGACCAGCCTGCCCATCTTGGTGAAACCCTGTCTCTACTGAAAATGCAAAAAATTAGACAAGCATGATGGCGTGTGCCTATAGACCCAGCTACTCGGGAGGCTGAGGCACAAGAATCGCTGGAACCCGGGAGGCGGAGGTTGCAGTGAGCCCAGATTGTGCCACTGCACTCCAGCCTGTGCGACAGAGTGAGACTCCATGTGAACACAAAACAAAACAAAACCAAAAAAAAAAAAAAAAAAACAAAAACACCCCAGCAACCTGACAGGCACTTCTGACACAGGCTGCAACACGGATGAACCTTGAAGACATTCTTGTCAGTGAAATAAATAAATCCCAAAAGGATAAAGATGACCAGGCTCAGTGGCTCGCACCTGTAACCCCAGCAGTTTGGGAGGCTGAGGCAGGCGGATCACTTAAGGTCAGGAGTTCGAGACCAGCCTGGCTAATATGGTGAAAGCTCGTCTCTATTAAAAATACAACAATTAGCTGGGCGTGGTGGCACACGCCTGTGATCCCAGCTACTCAGGAGACTGAGACACAAGAATCGCTTGAACCCACGATGTGGAGGTGGCAGTCAGCTGAGACCACGCCACTGCACTCCAGCCTGGGCGACAGAGAAAGACTTTGTCTCCAAAACAAACGAACCAAAAAAATTAAACACGGTATGATTCCACTTATATCACGTATCTAGAGTAGTTAAACTTATAGAGTTGCAAAATAGAATGGTGGCCCCCAGGGGTGGGCGAGAGAGAGAGGAATGGAGAGTTTGGTTTATGGGTGCAATTTCCATTTTCAAGGATAAAACTGTTCTGGAGATGATGGCGGTGATGGTTGCTAAACAATGTGAATGTACCTAATGTGATTAAACTGTAAACTGAAAAATAGTGGAAATTATAAATGTTTATACTGGCCATTCTATATGAAATAATATATATTTATAATTTTAAGCATTTATACGTGGTATATTTTCCCACAATAAAAGATGAAAATTAAAGCACTTGGATCTTGTAAAAGAAAAGAAAGAAGCGAATAATACACACAAGCTCTCTCCTGATTAGAGGAAGAGCCCCAGAACTTCTATGGACACTCACTTTTCTCTTCTTCTTCTTGCATGATGATGAGGAAATCCTTAGAGCTTGGGGAACTTGGGCGACTCTGGCTAATGAGGAGTTCTGTGCCTTGAGCCCCCCACACCATAGAATAGTAAAAACTCAGTCTGTGCCTCCAGCTCCGCGGTGTGAGGTTGCAGTCCTGTGGGCTCCACAACTGTCACCTGTATCAGGAGGCTCATGTCTCACCCTGTCTTCTGGCCAGCCTTGAGGATGGAGTCTGAGCCTCCAATGTGCACCACGCAGAGAGGACAGTGGACCTGTTCTCCATGGTCATGGCCCAGCAGAGGGGAAGGGCAGTTCAGTGAGTGCTGAGGGACCGTCGGGAGCCTTGTTCATTTCCTCATCCTCAGGACAAACAGGAGAGTGCCGTGGGCAGATGGGAGGAGACCAACGTGCAAACTGTCAGCTCAGCAGACTGTGGAGTTTCTGTTCTTGGTTGTGGTGGGGGGGGTCTCTCTCAGGAATATTCTTCAAAATTTTGCTTCCCTCCCCCACTGGTTGTCCTTTTCATAGACGTCTCACCCACGATAGCAGGGAATGGGTCCCTCTATACTATTCCCTCAGAACAACAAAAAGATGATGAAGGTGATGATGAGGATAAAGAGGATGATGACAGACACCACCGCATCATGAACACTTACTGAGGGCTTCCTAAAGGCCAGACTCTGAGCTCTGTGTTCTATGCAGCTTGTTTCATTTCATCTGCGTAGTCTCCCAGTTATTAGTGCACATTTCCTGATGATTTTACAGACTAGAAAAGGAGCAACACATTTTCATAGAACTTGTACCAGATCATGAAGTCAAAAAGAGTGAAGCCCAATTTGAACCAGGCAGTCTAAGGCCAGACACATGGCATTTGGCCAGTCCTCTCCCTGCATCCAGCCTGCCCTCTCAAATCCTTGTCACTCGGGCCGATGCCCCTGCTCACTGTGCCCTTCCCTTTGGGGGTTCCTTGTAGACCACAGCTAGACTAGTGGGTGCCACAATCACTGTGTCAAGTAGGGAAAGGGCAGCTGAGATCACATCAAGGATTCCAGAAAGAATTGGCACAGGATCATTCGGGATGCATCTCTCCCTTGCCCCTGTTCCTGGCTTTCCTTACAGCTCTCAACTTCCTCAAAGGAGTCATCAATTCGGGGTTTGGTTTCCATTCCTATTGAGGAAGCTGGAAACCATTTCAAAAATGCTCCTCCCATGTGCCTGTGGTTAAGAGCCCTAAGCTCTGTTGAAAACTTTTGGAAGCTGGGCGCGGTGGCTCACGCCTGTAATCCCAGCACTTTGGGAGGCTGAGGCAGGTGAATCACAAGGTCAGGTGTTCGAGACCAGCCTGGCCAACATGGTGAAACCCCGCCTCTCCTAAAAAGAGAAAAATATTAGCCGGGCGTAGTGGCGAGCGCCTGTCATCTCAGCTACTTGGCAGGCTGAGGTAAGAGAATAGCTTGAACCTGGGATGCGGAGGTTGCAGTGAGCCGAGATCACTCCACTGCACTCCAGCCTGGGCAACAGAACGAGACTCCATCTCAAAAACAAAAACAAAAAAGAACCCACAACATTTTGAGGGTTGGGAGACCATCAAATATAGTGCCTGGGACTTAGAGTCTGGCCATTAATTTTCAATACCACCCTTTCTACTTATCTGTATGGCAAGGGGTGAGACATCCATCCTCTGAGACTCAGCACTCTCATCTGATTGATTTCTAATTGATCCAATGGAAGTGAGCGATGATGAAACCGATCGTGGGTTCCCGCTGCGTGATCTCTATGTGACGGATGCGTAAAGTAAAGGCAAAGTGAATTTTAGATACATTCGTTAATATTTTAAGCTTAAACTCCATACGGTTCAACGGAAATGTCCCCTGACCTGAAGTTCTGGTTTCCCTACATTCCGGACAGGACATTTTATTTTGTCCTTATCTCAGTAAGTACTGAGTATTGTGAGAGGAACAAGTGAGTCTCTTTTGTTTCTGATTCCCCAGAGCCTATATCTTGCTTGGCACAAAGGAGATAGCAAAAGTAAACATCTATGTGAATTATTGAATTGACACTTCCTTGGTTCACAAAAATTGGCTGTCATCAGTGTGACGTCAGTGTGACAGAGCGTGTCTTTTTGGTTTTTTGTTTTTTGAGATGGAGTTTTGCTCTTGTTGCCCAGGCTGGAGTGCAGTGGTGTGATCTCAGCTCACTGTAGCCTCTGCCTCCCAGGTTCAAGCCATTCTCCTGCCTCAGCCACCTGAGTAGCTGGGACTACAGGCGCGCGCCGCCATACTGGGCAAAGTTTTGTATTTTCAGTAGAGGCGGAGTTTCACCATTTTGGCCAGGATGGTCTTGATCTCCTGACCCCGTGATCCGCCCTCCTCGGCCTCCCGAAATGCTGGGATCACAGGCGTGAGCCACCGCGTCCGTCCAAACGTTCTGATGAAAACTCTAAGTCCACCGAAGCTAAGGACAGGAGTTATAGCTTCCATGAATTTTAAAACAAGACCCACCGATTTGAGTAAGCAATTACTCTCTTGAAGGAGAAAAGTCAGAAAACATAATGATGAAATCACTAGGACCTAACTGGCCTGTGGAACTATTTTCTGCTTATGAACTATCAACTTTAATTTCATTTCCAGATGGCATGGTCTCAGCAGTTATACAGTGTTTACAGATGTTCTAAATCAAGGGAATTTGTATCAATCTATTCAAATAAAATAAAATATTTGAGTTCTTAATTTCCTTGAATTAGGATAACCTTTTTCTTAAAGTGAAGAGAATGGTTTTATTACATAGTTTCCTTCGGTAAAGATAGGCTGTCTTTTCTAGCAATTACGAATTTATTATATATGATGATCTGGTTCTTGGAACATTCTTGAATCCAGTGTCTCTGAGGCAGGTGTGTACAGCAAGAAGTGAATAACACAGAAATCAATGATGAAAGCATTAGAAGACAATTGAGTTTGTCAGAACTGCAAAATATTGCTGAGTGTGGATTGCTCTGAAATCTGAAAACATTACTTGTGAATTGCTTCTATCCAAAATGCAGACACGATGCTGGGTGTTGGTTTATTTGTTTCCGATTTCTCAACCCTCTTTTCTAGGCAAAAGGTGCCCAATCTCTACAGACCCACAGAATCTAACAGATGTCTCTATATTCCTCCTCCTAGAACCTCAGAGGATCCAGAACGGCAGCTGGTCCTTGCTGGGCTGTTCCTGTCCATGTGCCTGGTCACGGTGCTGGGGAACCTGATCATCATCCTGGACGTCAGCCCTGACTCCCACCTCCCCACCCCCATGTACTTCTTCCTCTCCAACCTGTCCTTGCCTGACATCGGTTTCACCTCCACCACGGTCCCCAAGATGATTGTGGACATCCAATCTCACGGCAGAGTCATCTTCTATGCAGGCTGCCTGACTCAGATGTCTCTCTTTGCCATTTTTGGAGGCATGGAAGAGAGACACGCTCCTGAGTGTGATGGCCTATGACCGGTTTGTAGCCATCTGTCACCCTCTATGTCATTCAGCCAGCATGAACCCGTGTTTCTGTGGCTTTCTAGTTTTGTTGTCTTTTTTTTTTCTCAGTCTTTTAGACACCCAGCTGCACAACTTGATTGCCTTACAAATGACCTGCTTCAAGGATGTGGAAATTCTTAATTTCTTCTGTGACCCTTCTCAACTCCCCCATCTTGCATGTTGTGACACCTTCACCAATAACATAATCATGTATTTCCCTGCTGCCATATTTGGTTTTCTTCAGATCTCGGGGACCCTTTTCTCTTACTATAAAATTGTTTCCTCCATTCTGAGGGTTTCATCATCAGGTGGGAACTATAAAGCCTTCTCCACCTGTGGGTCTCACCTGTCAGTTGTTTGCTGATTTTATGGAACAGGCGTTGGAGGGTACCTCAGTTCAGATGTGTCATCTTCCCCGAGAAAGGGTGCAGTGGCCTCAGTGATGTACACGGTGGTCACCCCCATGCTGAACCCCTTCATCTACAGCCTGAGAAACGGGGATATTAAAAGTGTTCTGCGGCGGCCGCAAGGCAGCAAGGTCTAATATCAATATCTTCTTATCTGTTCCATTCCTTTTGTAGGGTGGGTTAAAAAAGGCAGCAAGGTCAAATAAGAATGATATCACAGGGTGAAGACCCCACTGTGATATTAGGAGTAATACCTCCCTAGGATATAGAATATACTGTCACAGAGTATACACACATGGGCTACACCCGCTGTGGTGTTAGAAGCAATATCTCCCTAAAGTATGAGGGAAAATATCACAGGGTGTGCACACTGTGTGATATGAGGAGTAATATTTACCCTGGATATTATGACTAATATCAAGGGTGTACACACACAGGGTACACGCACTGTGATATCAGGAGTTGCATCTCCCTAGGATATTATGAATACTATCACAGGATATACACTATGTGTGTACACCCACTGTGATATTTGAAGTCACATCTCTCTATGAGATTATAAATAACATCAAAGCGTGTACACCCCTGTGACATATTAGGAGTAACATCATTCTAGGGTACTACAGTTAACCTCACAACGTGTACACCTTCTGTGACGTTTTGTACACTCTTTGTGACATTAAAAGAAACATCCCCCTAGGATATTATGAATAATAACACAGGAGGTGTACACACATGGTGTACACGGCCTGTGTCATCAGGAGTAACATTCCCCTAGGATATTACAAATAATATCACAGCAGGTGTACACACATGTTGTACACCCCATGTGACATTCGGAAGAGCATGCCCCTAGGATATTAGGAATAGTATCACAGGCTTTTAATACACATTTTTAATGCGTAATGTCACCCCCGGTGACATTAAAAATAATATCCCCCTTGGATATTACGAATAATATGACAGGGAGTGCACCCCGTGTGACATTAGGAGTAACATACCCCGAGGATAGAACGAATTATATCAGAGGGTGTACATGCATTGTGACCTTAGTAGTAACATCTCTTTAGGATATTACAAATCATATCACAGGGTGTACAGGCATTGTGACATTAGTAGTAACATCCCGCTGGGATATGATGAGTCATATCACAGGGTGTACACCCCCATGACAATAGTAGCAACATTCCCCTAGAATATTACGAATAATATCACAGGAGGTACAGCCCCTGTGATTTACTAGTAACATGTCTATAGAATATTACAACTCATATCATTGTGTGACTCTGTGTACACCCCGTGTGACTTTAGGAGTAACATCCCACAAAACTATGACGAAAAATATCACAGGGTGAACACCCCCTGTGACCTGAGGAATAACATAGTTTTAGGATATTATGAATGATGTGACAAGGTGTACACACCCTGTGACCTTAGGAGCAATATCCTTCTAGGATGTTAGGAAGACTATCACACGGAACACAGCCCCTGTGACATTAGGATATGACAAATAATATCACAAGGTGTACACGCATTGTGACATTACTGCAAATATCCCTCTGGTACACTATGAATAATATCACAGGGTGTACATCCCTGTGACATTAGGAGTAACATCCCCCTAGAATAGTAAGAATAATAACAAGGGGTGTACACCCCCTGTGACATCAGGAGTATCATCTCACTAGAATATTACGAATAATGTCACAGGGTGTTATCGCCTGTGCCAATAGGGGTATAGACCCCTGGGAAATTATGAATAGTATCACAGGGTGTACAGCCCTGTGACAGTAGGAATAACATCTTTCTAGAATATCACGAATAATATCACAATGTGTACACCCCCTGTGTCATTAAAAGTAAAATTGCCCTAGGATATTACAAAATCGAACACAGGGAGTATACCCCGTGTGACATTAGAAGTAACACCCCCCGAGGATATAACCAATAAGATCAGAGAATGTACCTGCATTGGGACATCAGTAGTAACATCTCTTCAGGACAATACGAATAATATCAAAGGGTGTACACGCATTGTGAAATTAGTAGTGAACTCCCACTAGGATATTAGGAATTTTATGACAGGGTCTACACACCCTGTGATATTAGCAGTAACGTTTTCCTAGAAGAATACGAAGAATATTAAAGGGTGTACAGGAACTGTGAATTACGAGTAAC
Source organism: Homo sapiens (assembly GCF_000001405.40). Taxonomy (NCBI): domain Eukaryota; kingdom Metazoa; phylum Chordata; class Mammalia; order Primates; family Hominidae; genus Homo; species Homo sapiens. Next base: position 125,715,114 of record NC_000003.12, read on the forward strand.
ATTTCCATAGCATATTGCACATAACATCACTGTGTGTACACGCCGTCTGACATTAGGGGTAACATCCCACAAAATTATAGCGAATAATTTCACAAGGTGTGCACCCTCTGTGACACTAAAAATAACATTTCCCTAGAATATGACGACAATCTCACAGGGTGTACACCCTCTGTGAAATGAGGAGTGACATCTTATGGGGATAATACGAGTAATTTGAAAAGGTGTACAAACCCTGTGACAGAAGGAGTGACACCCCTCTAGGACATTATGAATAATATCAAAAGGAACATACCTCGTGTGACAATAAAAGCAACCTCCCCTTAGGAGAATAAGAATAACACCACAAGGTGTACACACAATGTGACATTATTATTAAAGTAAAACTAGGATATTGGGAATAACATCACAGTGTACAGAGTCCTGTGACATCAGGTTGAACATTCCCCTACAAAATTACGAATAATATTGAAGGGTGTATACCCCCTGCGACTTTAGCAGCCGCATATTGCTAGAATATGGAAGATAACGTCCCAGGGTGTGAACAGAGGGGGGCAGTATAGAAAGGATCCTAGGACAAATCGGAGAGTAATACCACCCCCCGATCCACAGCTGGATGTGACGATCCCCATCGCAGGGCGGCGGCCGCGTCCAGAGACATGGGAAGTAATATCACCCCACTCTCTCCCCTGGGATATGACGATCAACATGGAAGGGGGGCGGGCGCCCCCGAGATGCGGGCAGGCTTATCACCACCCCCTCGCCCCTGGATATGACGATGGACATCGCAGGGGGGCGAGGCGCCCCCCGCGATGTGGGGAGTCAGAGCCAGCCCCTCTTGCCCCCCTGGCTCTTAGGACCCCCATCGCAGGGGGGCGAGGCGCCCCCCGCTATGCAGGGAGTCAGAGCCAGCCCCTCTTGCCCCCCTGGCTCTTAGGATCCGCGGTAGACTCACAGCCTGTTTATCATATTGTGAGTAATATCATCTCCCCCTCTGGAGATTATGAACCGTTTCACAGACCGGTGTACACCCTTTGTGTACAGAGGTTGTACACCCGTCTGTATCGGGAGTCATATCATCCTCTTCCTCCCTGAATATTAGGAACAGTATCTCAGGGGGGTTTCTACTCTCTGGGATATCGGGTGTCATGTCCTCCTCTCCCACGTTGCAATTAGAAACAATATCATTGGGGGCGTGTCCACCTTCTGTGATTTTGAAAGTAATATTATCCTCTTCCTTCCAGGATCATGGGAAGGATATCCTTGGGGGTGTCCACTCTCTGCCATACATGTAGTCATAGCACCTCCTCCGCCTTGGAATATTTTTAAGGACCATCTTACACGGGGGTGGACACTTCCTGTGATGTTGGGAGTAATGGCATTCTCTTCTTCCGTGAATATTAGGAGCAAATTCACCGGGTGGATGCACATCCAGTGCTATATTGGGAGGAAGGTCATACTCCACCCCCTGGAGATTATTCGGTGATATTCGGATCAATATCACCGGCTGTGTGTACACCTACTGCGATATTGAACGTAATATCATGCTCTCTCCCTCCCTGGACATTGGGAGCACTATCACAGGTGGGTGTACACCCCCTGAGGTGTTAGGGCGTAATATTAGTATGAATTATTCCTCATTTATTATTAACAGGAATATGAATGACCGATATTAATATTAATATTAAGAAATAATTGCTAATAAAAGTGTCCCATTATTAATATTAATATTAATTATTAGGAGCTAATCTTTACTGTTTTCTAATGAATAAGATCAGTATCAGTTATTAATATCAGATGTCATTAATCATTAATATTAATCATTTATTTTTTCCGTTAGTATAACTATTTAATAGTAATTATTATTATCGTTATTGATTTTAAAAATTATATTATGGGTTATTAATATTGATAATTATTAGTGTCTATTAATAATTGAGATTATTAATTGCGGTAAGTCGCCTTGCGCCATTCCACCCCTCCCTCGGCAGCTCGTTTACGACCCAAAACGGGGACACAAATGCCCCTGAGAGAGCAGCGGTATACTGGGATAGACGAGGATGGTCACGTGGTAGAGAGGCATGTTTTTGGGTACCAGCACTTCACCTGCGTCGACCTTCTCAACTGGAAAAACAATACACCGCCCTATACCGAAAAGCCACAAGCCCTAATTGATTTGCTCCAAGCTGTTATCCAGACCCACAACCCCACCTGGGCTGATTGGCACCAGTTGCTCATGTTCCTCTTTAACAGCGAAGAAAGGCGGAGAGTCCTGCAAGCAGGAACTAAGTGGCTAGAGGAACATGCACCAGCTGATTATCAAAACCCCCAAGAGTATGGAAGGACCCAGTTGCCAGGAACCGACCCCCAGTTGGACCCACATGAAAGAGAGGAGTTGCAAAGGCTAAACCGAGACAGGGAAGCTCTCTTGGAAGGATTCAAGAGGGGAGCTCAGAAGGCCACAAACATTAACAAGCTCTCTGAGGTCATTCAGGGAAAAGAAGAAAGTCCAGCACAATTCGACGAGAGACTGTGTGAGGCCTATCGTATGTATACTCCCTTTGATCCCGATAGCCCTGAAAATCAGCGCATGATTCACATGGCTTTAGTCCGTCAAAGCGCAGAAGACATGAGAAGAAAACTGCAGAAACAGGCTGGGCTTGCAGGGATGAATCCATCACAATTACTAGAAATAGCTAGCCAGATGTTTGTAAACAGGGATGCAGTAAGCCCTAAGGAAAACGGCAAAGAGAATGGAGGTCAGGCCCGGTGACACGCTGACCTGTTTGTCAGCTGCAGCAATCAGAGGGGCCCCCCCAAAGAGGCAAGGGAAGGGGGGCCCTGGGAAAGAAACTCAGCTTGGCTGTCAGAGTTTGCAGTGTAACCAGTGTGCTCATTGTAAAGAAATAGGACAGTGGAAGAACAAATGCCCTCAGCTCAAAAGAAAACAAGGTGACTCAGAGCAGGAGGCCCCGGACAAGGAGGAAGGGGCCCTGCTCAACCTGGCAGAAGGGTTCTTGGACTGAGGGAGACCGGGCTCAAGCGTACCCAAACAGCCTCTGCTCAGAATGACAGTTGGGGGTGGAGACATTGACTTTCTTGTAGATAGCGGTGCTGAACATTTGCTAGGAACCGCCCCGGTCGCCCCCTTATCCAAAAAGACTATTGATGTCATCGGAGCCACATGGGTTTCAGCAAAGCAAGCTTTCTGCTTGCCTCGGACTTGTACTGTAGGAGGACATAAAGTCATTCATCAGTTTTGGTACATGCCTGACTGTCCCTTGACCTTTTTGGGAAGGGACTTGCTCAGCAAGCTGAGAGCCACTATGTGTTTGACAGACCACGGCTCTTTGCTGCTAAAGTTACCTGGAACAGGAGTCATTATGACACTTATGGTCCCCGGAGACGAGGAATGGAGAGTTTTCTTAACTGAGCCAGGCCAAGAGAGAAGACCAGCTCTGGCTAAGCGGTGGCCAAGAGTACGGGCAGAAGAGAACCCTCCGGGATTGGCCAGTTAAGACTGGGGCCCAGCCGGTGAGGCAAAAACAGGACCCGGTCCCCAGAGAAGCCCTTCAAGGTATCCAGGTCCGTCTCAAGCACCTAAGAACTTTTGGAATTATTGTTCCTTGTCAGTCTCCATGGAACACTCTCCTCCTGCCTGTTCCCAAGCCACGGACCAAGGACTACCGGCCGGTACAGGATTTGCCCTTGCTTCATCAAGCTACACTGACTTTACATCCAACAGTACCTAACCCGTCCACATTGTTGGGGTTGCTGCCGGCTGAGGACAGCTGGTTCACCTGCTTGGACCTGAAAGACGCTTTCTTTCCTATCAGATTAGCCCCTGAGAGGCAGAAGCTGTTTGCCTTTCAGTGGGAAGATCCGGAGTCAGGTGTCACTACTCAGTACACTTGGACCGGGCTTCCCCAAGGGTTCAAGAACTCCCCCACCATCTTCGGGGAGGCGTTGGCTCGAGACCCCCAGAAGTTTCCCAGCAGAGACCTAGGCTGCGTGTTGCTCCAGTAGGTTGATGACCTTCTGCTGGGACACCCCACGGCAGTCGGGTGTGCCAAGGGAACAGATGCCCTACACCGGCACCTGGAGGACTGTGGGTAGAAGGTGTCCAAGAAGAAAGCTCAGATCTGCCGACGGCAGGTAAGTTACTTGGGTTTGACTATCCGACAGGGGTCGGAACGCAGTCCAGGATCAGAAAGAAAGCAGGTCATTTGCAATCTAGCGGAGCCTAAGAGCAGGAGGCAGGTGAGAGAATTCTTAGGAGCTGTGGGGTTTTGTAGACTGTGGATCCCAAACTTTGCAGTATTAGCCAAGCCTTTGTATGAGGTCACAAAAGGGGCGGGGACCGGGAACCTTTGGAATGTGGATCCCAACAACAGCAAGTCTTTCATGAGTTAAAGGAAAAACTTCTGGCAGCCCCAGCCCTGGGGTTACCAGAACTGAGAAAGCCTTTTCCATTGTGTGCATCAGAGAGAGAAAAGATGGCAGCTGGACTTTGAACCCAAACTGTGGGGCCCTGGCTGAGACTGGTGGCCTACCTCTCTAAACAACTAGATGGGGTTTCTAAAGGATGGCCCCCCTGTTTGAGGGCCTTGGCAGCAACTGCCCTGCTAGTACAAGAAGCAAATAAGCTGACTCTTGGGCAAAACCTGAACATAAAGGCCTCCCGTGCTGTGGTGACTTTAATGAATACTAAAGGACATCATTGGCTAACGGATGCCAGACTCATCAAGTACCAAACTTTGCTCTGTGAGAATCCCCGTATAACCATTGAAGTTTGTAACACCCTACACCCCGCCTCCTTGCTCCCGGTATCAGAGAGCACTGTCGAGCCTGATTGTGTAGAAGTGTTGGATTCAGTTGACTCTAGCAGACCTGACCTCCGGGACCAAGCTTGGGCATCAGGAGACTGGAAACTATACGTGTATGGGAGCAGCTTCTTCAACCCCCAAGGAGAGAGAGAGGTGCAGGGTATGCAGTGATAACCCTGGACACTGTTTTTGAAGCCAGATCCTTGCCCCAGGCCACTTCAGCCCAGAAAGCTGAACTCATTGCTTTCATTCGTGCCTTAGAACTCAGTGAGGGTGAGACTGTCAACATTTACACTGATTCTTGGTATGTCTTTTCAACCCTTCAAGTGCATGGAGCATGATAGAAAGAAAAGGGCCTACTGAACTCTGGGGTAAAAGACAGAAAATATCAACAAGAAATCTTGCAATGATTAGAAGCAGTATGGAAACCCCACAAGGTGGCAGTTATGCATTGCAGAGGACACCAGCGAGCTTCCACCTTGCTGGGTTTGGGGAATTCTCGCGCTGACTCAGAGGCTCAAAAAGCAGCATCTGCCCCCTTCCGGGCATCAGTGCTCCCTCAAGCACCTGATCTTGGACCTACTTCTTCTAAAGAAGAAAAGGACTTTCTCCAGGTAGAGGGAAGGACAAGTGATGGAGGAAGGATGGATTCGGTTACCAGATGGGAGACTAGCTGTGCCACAGCTGCTAGGAGCTGCAGTTGTACTGGCTGTGTAAGAAACCACCCATCGAGGTCAGGAGTCACTGGAAAAGTTGTTAGGCTGGTATTTCTTCATCTCGCCTCTGTCAGCCCTTGCCAAAACGGTGAGGCAGCGGTGTGTTACCTGCCGACAGCATGATGCGAGGCAAGGTCCAGCCGTTCCACACGGCATACGAGCTTATGGAGCAGCCCCCTTTGAAGGTCTCCAGGTGGACTTCAGAGAGATGCCAAAGTGTGGAGGTAACAAGTATGTACTAGTTCTTGGGCGTACCTACTCTGGGTGGGTGGAGGCCTATCCAACACGAACTGAGAAAGCTCGTGAAGTAACCCCTGTGCTTCTTCGGGATCTGATTCCTAGATTTCGACCGCCCTTATGGATCGGCTCAGACAACGGGCCTGCATTTTTGGCTGCCTTGGTACAGAAGACGGCAAAGGTATTGGGGATCACACGGAAACTGCATGCCACCTCCCGGCCTCAGAGTTCCGGAAAGGTGGAGTGGATGAATCGGACTATCAAAAATAGTACTATTGTCTTCCCTGCTGGATATTTAAAACAACACCACAAGGGGCGTCAAACCACCTGCTAAATTTGAGGGAATGTTATCCTCTCCCCACCTCCCCCAGCCCCGGATATTAGAGACAATAACACAGGGGTGATGTACACCCACTGCTTTATTGGGAGTAATATCATCCTCTGCCTTCTTGGATATTAGGAACAATATCACACTGTGCGTGTACGCCTGTCGCGAAATTCAATGAAATGTCATCCTGCGCCTCCCTGGATATGACGAACAATATCACGGGGGATGTACAACTTCTGAGATATTGGGAGTGATATCATCCTCTCCCCTCTGAAAGTTAGGGACAATATCACAGGGGTAGTGTACACCCTCTGGGATGTTGGGACTAATATCATCCTCCCGCCCACTGGATATTAAAAACCATATCACAAGGGGCGTGTACACACACTTCGATATTGGTATGAATACCATCCTCTCCCTCTTTGGATATTCGGTGCCATATTTCTGGTGGGGTATACACCACCTGCAATATTGGAGGTAATATGATTTTCTCCCCCCCTGGATATCACAAACAATATCACAGGGGGTTGTGAACAACCCCTGCGATACTTGGAGCAATATCATCGTCTCCCCTCACAATTACTAAGAACAATATGGTAGGGATGGGGGATGCACACCCCTTTTCATATTTGATATCATCCTCTTCCCCCCTGGATATTAGGAGCAATATCAGGAAGGAATGTACAGACCCTGCGACCTTTGCTGTCATATAATTGTCTCTCCCCTAGATATTAGGAAAAAATGTCACTGGGGATGTGAACAGCCCTGCGATATTGAGAGTAGTATCATCCTCTCCCCCCTTGTATATTGGGAACAACATCACAGGTAGGGTGTACTGCCTCTGTGATATTGGGAGTGAAATTTTCCTCTCTTCCCCTGGACATTAGGAAGGGTATCAGAGGGGGAGGGTGTACATTCCCTGCGATATTCAACGTAACCTTATCCTCTGCCTCACAGGGTATTCAGAACAATATTACAGGAGGGGTGTACACCCTCTGCGATATTGAGAGTCATGTCATCCTCTTTCGCTCTGGATATTAGGAACAATATCACAGGGTTGAGTACACTCCCTGCGATATTGGGAGTCATATCATGCTCTCTCCCTGTGGATATTAGGAAGAGTATCACAGGGCTGTGTAAACCCCCTGCAGTACTGGGAGTAATACCATCCTCTCTCCCTCTGGAAATAGGAAGATTTTCACAGGGGCGTGTACACCCCCTGCAATATTGGGAGTGAGATCATCCTGTCCACCCAGGAAATGACTAACAAGGTCACGGGGAAGTGTACTCCCCCTGCGATATTGGGAGTAATGTCGTCCTCCCCAAACCTGGATGTTAGCAACGAGATCACAGAGGGGGTGTACACACCCTGCGACATTGGAAGTAATATGATCCTCTCCCCACCTGGATACTGGGAAAGATACCACAGCGCGGGCAAACCTTTCCTACGCTGTTGGGAGTAATATCATTCTTTTCCTTTCTGGATATTAGGAAGAATATCACGGGGTGCTGTACAATTACTTTGATATCGGCAGTAATATCATGCTCTATTTTCCTGGATATTGCGCACAAAAACACAAAAGGGTGTACAACCCGAGCGATATTGGGAGTAGTAGCATACTCTCCTTCCCTGGATGTCAGAAAACAATATCATCAGGGCTGAACACCCCCCACGATAATGGGAGTCATGTTTACTCTTTCACAGGCCATTTGGATTAATATCACAGGGGGTGTTTACAAACAGGGGTGGTGTACACCCCCTGTGATATTGGGAGTAACATCATTCTCTCCACCTCCGGATATTAAGAACAATATCCCGGCGGGAGGTGGTACACCCCCAGTGATATTGCGAATAATGTCATCCTCTCCTTCCCTGGATATTAGGAACAATATCACAGGGGGGTGTACACCTTCTGTGATATTGGAAGCAATATCATCCTCTCCCCCGCTGGATATTAGAAAAAAATATCACTCACGGTGTACACCCACTGTAATATGAGGAGTAATATCTTCCTAGGGTACTACGAATAATTTCACAGTCTGTACACACATGGTGTACACTCACTGTGATATTAGGAGTAATATCTACCTAGTAGATAACAAATAACATCGCAGGGTGTACACCCACTTTGACATTAGCTGTAATATTTTTCTAAGTTGTTACAAATAAGATCACAGGGTGTACAAACATGGTTTACATTCACTGTGATATCAGGAGTCGTATCTCTGTAATATATTATGAATAATATCACAGGGTGTACACCCACTGTATTATTAGAAGTAATATCTCTGTAGGATATTACAATTAAGATCACAGGGTGTAGAGCCACGGTGATATTAGGAGCAATATTTTTCTAGGATATTACAAATAATATCACAGAGTGTACGCCCACTCTGCTGTCAGGAGGAATATCTCCCTAGGATATCAAAAATCCTATCACAGGGTGTGCAATCTCTGCCTTCCAGGTTCTAAGGGATTCTCCTGCTTCAGCCTCCCGAGTAGCTAGGGTTACCCGCCACTACGCCCGGCTGATTTTTTTTTTTTAATTTTCACTGGAAACGGGGTTTCACCACGTTGGCCAGGCTGGTCTGGAACTCCTGACCTCAGGTGATCCATCAGCCTCGGCCACCCAAAGTGCTGGGATTACAGGTGTGAGCCATGGTGCTTGGCCAAGAGTTCTATATTCAATTCATTTGGAAACACAGCTCCCATCTTTGAGTGTGCATGTACTTTTATGAAGAAATGATGTCAGAAAACCGAAGGATGATAATAAATATGAAAAGTAACAGGCATGTGAAAAGTTCTTCCGATTGAGAACTATAAGGTTCGATGTCGTTTTCAGATAATGGGGTCCTAGCTCTTGTGTCGTCCTTTTACATATTCTACACCAAAGGAAATTGTGGCACGGTGTCAGAATAAAGTAGAGTGTATTTCACGGCTTCTCAATTTCTTTCAATTAGACTGAGATCTTTTTCTTAAAGAGAGAAGGACATTGTCATTGCATTGTATTTTTTCTGAAAAGAGTAGGCCGTATTTTACTGAGATCACGGATTTGTTATATATGACGTTTCGGTCTTCTAACATTTTTCAGTGGATTTTCTCTAAAGTAGTATGTACAGAAAGCCTTGTACAGCAAAAAAGTAAATCACGTAATAATTCTGAGATTTTTGGAATTGTCACAGCTGAGAAACATTGCTGGCGGTGTATGGTCCGCAAGTGTGAAGATGTTCCTTGTGAATTGCTTGCATCCAGCATTAAGGGCTGGTTTTTATCTTTTATTTTTCCAATCCTCTTTCCTTCTCAAGGTGTCCAAGACACACAGAGCCACGGAATCTCACAGGTGTCTGAGAATTCCTCCTCCTGGGACTCTCAGAGGATCCAGAACTGCAGCCAGTCCTCGCTTTGCTGTCCCTGTCCCTGTCCATGTATCTGGTCACGGTGCTGAGGAACTTGCTGAGCATCCTGGCTGTCCGCTCTGAGTCCCCGCTCCACACAACCATGTACTTCTTCCTCTCCATCCTGTGCTGGGCTGACATCGGTTTCACCTCAGCCACAGTTCCCAAGATGATTGTGGACATGCAGTGGTATAGCAGAGTCATCTCTCATGCGGGCTGCCTGACACAGATGTCTTTCTTGGTCCTTTTTGCATGTATAGAAGGCATGCTCCTGACTGTGATGGCCTATGACTGCTTTGTAGGCATCTGTCGCCCTCTGCACTACCCAGTCATCGTGAATCCTCATCTCTGTGTCTTCTTTGTTTTGGTGTCCTTTTTCCTTAGCCTGTTGGATTCCCAGCTGCACAGTTGGATTGTGTTACAATTCACCATCATCAAGAATGTGGAAATCTCTAATTTTGTCTGTGACCCCTCTCAACTTCTCAAACTTGCCTGTTCTGACAGCGTCATCAATAGCATCTTCATATATTTTGGTAGTACTATGTTTGGTTTTCTTCCCATTTCAGGGATCCTTTTGTCTTACTATAAAATCGTCCCCTCCATTCTAAGGATTTCATCGTCAGATGGGAAGTATAAAGCCTTCTCCACCTATGGCTCTCACCTAGCAGTTTTTTGCTGATTTGATGGAACAGGCATTGGCGTGTACCTGACTTCAGCTGTGGCACCACCCCTCAGGAATGGTGTGGTGGTGTCAGTGATGTAAGCTGTGGTCACCCCCATGCTGAACCTTTTCATCTACAGCCTGAGAAACAGGGACATACAAAGTGCCCTGCGGAGGCTGCGCAGCAGAACAGTCGAATCTCATGATCTGTTCCATCCTTTTTCTGGTGTGGGTGAGAAAGGGCAACCACATTCAATCCCTACATCTGCAAATCCTGCCCCTTAGTCACATTATTTTTGTGGCTTGATGGCTTTTATTCCTTTCTGCATTTCCTTTGTGAATATTGCTTTCTTCGTTATGCCTTTAACTGGAATGGGTGAGGATTCTGGGATCCTTTGTTTAGCAGAAACCTCATGACAGAATCCTCTCTACCTAGGCGGCCTCTTTTAGTTTCTGAGCAATAACCCTGTCATCCAGGTGGAATCACTACCATCTTTTTATATACACGAAGTCCTCACTTCGTTTTGGAATTCCCTGAAAACTGACTTTATGGAAACAATGTACAGGAGGTCCTCCAACACCGTTGGTTGTTCAAAGTTGTGTAGTTATACTGTTGATGAAAAATAAGCGGTTTCACTATACATAATTTTGCTTCAAGTTGAAGTTTCCAAGAGACTTTCAAAGATGTTAAGTGAGGACATACTGTACATCAAATTCATATCCTCTTCCAGAGTTCCTGTGGAATTTCTTTATAAACTGCTTCTAGAGAATCTATTTAGGCAGGGTATGTGTAGAGATCCATGTCGCTGTTCCTCAATCTTGGCTTTGAGTCAAATCACCTGGGGAGCTTACACATGATGAGGCCTGGGTCTCAATACCCTAGATTCTGATTTCCTTGCACCTGTGTGAGTACGTGGATTTCTTTTTTTCTTTTAAAGCACCAGAGGTGGTTCCAACCACGAAGTTTTTAGAGGCATGAAGCTCCAATGAGTAAGAAGAGAAATTAATTGTAATATGCTTTCTTCAAATATTATCTTCAAAAGCATTGTCCATCAACACCATACAAATGTTTATTATGCTGTTTTTTCTTACCATTTCGCATTTTCTATTTCTTTCTTTTCCTTTTTTTTGAGTCAGAGTTTCGCTCTTGTTGCCCAGGCTGGAGTTCAATGGCACGGTCTCGGCTCACTGCAACCTCTGCCTCCCATATTCGAGCAATTCTTCTGTCTCAGCCTTCCAAGTAGCTGGGATTACAGGCATGCGCTACCATGCCTGGCTAATTTTATTTTTATTTATTTATTTATTTATTTTGTATTGTTAATAGAGACAGTGTTTCTCCATTTTGGTCAGGCTGGTCTTGAACTCCCGACCTCAGGTGATCCGCCCGCTTCCGCCTCCCAAAATGCTAGGATTACAGGCATGAGCGACCGCGCCCAGCCACCACTTAGCATTTACATTTTACATTTGTTGAAGTTATAGATTTATACACACATTGATTCCTGCTTTGTTATACACTTGCATATACATAAGATGGGAAATAGAAAAGAATAAAATGGGCACAGTATCCCTGAAGTTTCACATTCCGAGACATTTCAAAAATATTTGCCCTTCAAAAATTTGTTTCAATGAAGAAATTGTGGTATACACACCCAGTGAAGTATGATTCAGCCTAAAAAGGAAGAAACTCCTCTCCGCTGCAGACAAAATGGATGAGATTGCAGGTCTGTATATTAAATGAAAGAAGCCCGGCACAGAATGACAAATATTTCCTGTCCTCACTTCTATGTAGAAAGAAAAAAGGAAACCTTGGCCAGGTTTGGTGGCTCAGGCCTGTAATCCCAGCACTGTGGGAGGCCGAGTCGCACGGATCACTTGAGTCCAGGAGTTCGAGACCCGCCTGGCCAACATGGTGAAACCTCGTCTCTACGGAAAACACAAACAATTAGCCAGGCGTGGTGACGCGTGCCTGTAGTCTCAGCTACTCAGAGGGCTGAGGCCCAAGAAGCGCTTGAACTCGGGAGGCGGAGCTTGCAGTGAGCCCGGATTGTGCCTGTATACTCCAACCTGGGCAACAGAAAGAGACTCCATCACACACCTACACACAAAAGGAATCTCAAGAAGGTGGAAAGTATAAAGGTGGTTAGCACACGCTAGGAAGAAAAGGGGTGGGATAGGGAATGAAGACCAGTGGATAATTGGGTCCCGAAATACAGAAAGATGGAATAAGTGAGTTCTAGCGTTTGATAGTACAGTATGAAAATTTTAGTTCACAAGAATTTCTTGCATATTTCCAGATGTTTTGGTAAGAAGCTTCCTAACTTTCTCATTATGCTGGTTTTTAATCTCTTCTCTTTCTGCTCTTGAAGTCATGCTGGTTTTTTGTTTTTTGTTTTGAGATGGAGTTTCGCTCTTGTTGCCCAGGCTGGAGTGTCATGGTGCAATCTTGGCTCACTGCAACCTCTGCCTCCTGGGTTCAAGCAATTCTCCTGCCTCCACCTCCCGAGTAGCTGCGATTACAGGCATGCGCCAGCCCACCCAGCTAATGTTGTGTTTCTAGAAGAGAAGGGGGTTTCTCCCTGTCGGTCAGGCTGGTCTTCAACTCCTGACCTCAGGTGATCCGCCCGCCTCGGCCTCCCAAAGTGTTGGGATTACAGGCGTGAGCAACCGCGCCCGGCCCATGCTGTATCCTTATCTGTTGTCTGTTGTTGTTTGTTTGTTTTGGAGCCCAGAAATAACTTCTCACCTATATGTTCAAATGATTTTTCACATGAGTGCTAAGAAAGTCCATTGGTGGAAAAGCAGCCTTTTCAAGAAATGGTGTTGGAGAAACTTGATTTCCACATGCAGAAGAATGAAGGTGGACCCTATGTCACACCAGGTGGAAAAATTCACACAAACTGGATCAAAGACCTCACCCCAAGCGCTAAAAGTGTCATACGCCTTAAAGAAAACATTGGCCACGCTTTCATGACATCAGATTGGGCAATGTTCTCTGGGATATGACACCAAAAGCATAGGCAACAAAAGAAAATTATATTCCTTGGATTACATCTATATGACAGACACTTTTGTGCAGCAAAAAACACTGCGAACTGAGTGAAAAGATAACCCATGGATTAGGAAAAATACTTGCAAAGCACATATCTGAAAAGAGGCTGATATCCATCACATATAAAGAATGGCTAGAACTAAACAACAGGAAACCTAAAGCATCCCATCAACAATGGTCAGAAGACTCGAGTAGACGTGTTCCTAAAGAAGATATTGCAATGGCCAATAAGCATCTAAAATGATGTTCAACATCACTCATCCTAGGGAAGCACAAATCAAACCAAGAATGTGATACCACATATTAGGATGGATATGATAAACAAACAGGCATTGGTGAGACTAGAGGGAAGTAGGAATGCTCGATATGATCAGAGGGAATGTAAAACCGTGAAGGAACGGGGAAAATAGTATGGCGTCTACTGGAAAAATTAGTAACAGAATGATCAGATGTTCCCGCAGTTGCATTTGTGGGTACCTACCAAAAAGAATTAGAAGCCAGGAGTGGAAGACAGATTTGTGTACACCCATATTCATAGCAGCATTATTCACAACAGCCAAAATGTGGAAGCAACCCAAGGGTTCGTGGATAGATGAATGAAAAAGCACACTGCAGTTCCTTCATACAATAGAAGACTATTCAGCCTTGAAAAGGCAGACACTTCTGGCCGGTGCAGTGGCTCACGCCTGTAATAGCAGCGTCTTGGAAGACCGAGGTGGACGGATCACCTGAGGTCAGGAATTCAAGACCAGCCTGGCCATCTTGGTGAAACCCTGTCTCTACTCAAAATGCAAAAAAATGAGACGAGCGTGGTGGCGTGTGCCTATAGTCCCAACTACTCGGGAGGCTGAGGCACGAGAATGGCTGGAACCCGGGAGGCGGAGGTTGCAGTGAGCCCAGATTGTGCCACTACACTCCAGCCTGTGCGACAGAGTGAGACTCCATGGAAACACAAAACAAAACAAAGTCAAACGAACAAACAGACAAAAAACAGAGAGGCATTTCTGACGCAGGCCGCAACATGGATGAACCTTGAAAACATTATCGTCAGTGAAATAAATAAATCCCAAAAGGATAAACACGCCCAGGCTCAGTGGCTCGCACCTGTAACCCCAGCATTTTGGGAGGCTGAGCCAGGCGGATCACTTCAGGTCAGGAGTTCGAGACCAGCCTGGCCAATATGGTCTCTATTAAAAATACAAAAATTAGCTGGGTGTGGTGGCAGGCGCTTGTAATCCCAGCTACTCGGGAGACTGAGACACAAGAATCGCTTGAACCCACGATGTGGAGGTTGCAGTGAGGGGACATCACGCCACTGCACTCCGGCCGGGGTGACAGAGAATGACTCCGTTTCCAAAACAAAAAAATTAAACACGGTTTGGTTCCACTTATCTATCAAGTGTCTAGAGTAGTTAAACTCATAGAGTTGCAAACTAGAAAGGTGGCCCCCAGGGGTGGGCGAGAGAGAGGAGTGGAGAGCTTGGTGAATGGGTGCAATTTCCATTTTGAAAGATAAAACTGTTCCGGAGACGATGGCGGTGATGGTTGCTAAACAATGTGAACGTACTTAATGTCATGAAACTGTAAACTGAAAAAGCGTGGAAACTGTAAAGGTTTATACTGGCCGTTCTATATGAACTAATATATATTTATAATTTTTAATATTTATACGTGGTATATTTTCCCATAATAAAAGATGAAAATTAAAGCAGTTGGATGTTTAAAAAGAAAAGAAAGAAGCGAAGAATACACACCAGCTTTCTCCTGATTAGAGGAAGAGCCCCAAAGCTTCTATGGACACTCACTTTTCTCTTCTTCTTGCATTATTAGGAGGAAATCCTTAGAGGTTGGGGAACTTGGGTGACTTTGGCTAATAAGGAGCTCTGTGCCTTGAGCCCCCCAGGCCACAGAATAGTAAATAGTCAGTCTGTGCCTCCAGCCCTGCAGTGTGAGGTTCCAGTCCTGTGGGCTCCAATCCTGTCACTTGTATCAGGAGGCTCACGTCTCACCCTGTCTTCTTGCCAGCCTTGAGAACGGAGTCTGAGCCTCCATGGTGCACCACACAGGGAGGACAGTGGACCTGTTCTCCGTGGTCATGGCCCAGCAGAGGGGAAGGGCAGTTCAGTGAGTGTAGGGAAAAGAAAAAGAGATCAGACTCTTACTGTGTCTATGTAGAAAGGAAAGACATAAGAGACTCCATTTTGAGAAAGACCTGTACTTTCAACAACCGCTTTGCTGAGATGTTGTTAATGTGTAGCTTTGCCCCAGCCACTTTGACCCAACCTGAAGCTCACAAAAACATGTGTTGTATGAAATCAAGGTTTAAGGGATCTAGGGCTGTGCAGGACGTGCCTTGTTAAGAAGATGTTTCCAAGCAGTAGACTTGATAAAAGTCATCGCCATTCTCTAGTCTCAATAAACCAGGGGCACAATACACTGTGGAAAGACGCAGGGAGCCCTGCCCTTGAAAGCGGCATATTGTCCAAGGTTTCTCCCCATGTGATAGCCTGAAAAGTGGCCTCGTGGGAGGAGAAAGACCTGACCGTCCCCGAGCCGGACACCAGTAAAGGGTCTGTGCTGAGGTGGATTAGTCAAAGAGGAAAGCCTCTTGCAGTTGAGACAGAGGAAGGCCGCTGTCTCCTGCCTCCCCCTGGGAACTGAATGTCTCGGTATAAAACCCGATTGTACATTTGTTCAATTCTGAGATGGGGGAAAAACCGCCCTATGGTGGGAGGTGAGACATGTTGGCAGCAATGCTGCCTTGTTATTCTTTACTCCACTGAGATGTTTGGGTGGAGAGAAACATAAATCTGGCTTATGTACACGTCCAGTCATAGTACCTTCCCGTGAACTTCATGATGACATAGATTCTATTGCTCACATCTTCATTGCTGACCTTCTCCTTATTATCACCCTGCCCTCCTACTACATTCCTTTTTGCTAAAATAATAAAAATAATAATCAATAAAAACTGAGGGAACTCAGAGGCCAGTGCCGGTGCAGATCCTTGGTATGCTGAGCGCCGGTCACCTGGGCTCACTGTTGTTTCTCCATACTTTGTCTCTGTGTCTTATTTCTTTCCTCAGTCTCTCATCCCACCCGACTAGAAATACCCACAGGTGTGGAGGGGCAGGCCACCCCTTCAAGTGAGTGCTGAGGGACGGTCGGGAGCCTTGTTTGGTTTCCTCCTCCTCAGGACAAACAGGAGAGTGCGGTGGGCAGATGGGAGGAGACCACTGTGCAAATTATCCGCTCAGCAGACTGTGCAGTTTCTGTTCTTGGTTGTTCTTGGGGTCTCAGAAATCTTATTCAAAATTTTGCTTTCCTCCCCCACTGGTTGTCCTTTTCATAGACATCTCCCCCATGATAGCAGGCAATCAGTCCCTCTAAACTATTCCCTAAGAACAACAAAAAGATTATGAAGGTGATGATGAGGATAAAGAGGATGACGACAGACACCATGGCATCATGAACCCTTACTGAGGGCTTCCTAAAGGCCAGGCTCTGAGCTCTGTGCTCTATGCAGCTCGTTTCATTTCATCTGCCTAGTCTCCACGTTATTAGTGCACACTTCAGGATGATTTTACAGACTAGAAAAGGAGCAACGCCTTTTCAGATAACTCGTACTAGATCATGAAGTCAAAAAGGGTGAAGTCCAATTTGAACCAGGCAGTCTAAGTCCAGACACATGACATTTGGCCAGTCCTTTCCCTGCAACCAACCTGCCCTCTCAAATTCTCATCACTCAGGTGGATGCCCCTCCTCACTGTGCCCTTCCCTTTGGGGGTTCCTTGTAGACCACAGCTAGACCAGTGGGTGTACAATCACTGTGTCAAGTATGGAAAGGACAGCTGAGATCACATCGAGGATTCCAGAAAGAATTGGCACAGGATCATTCAGGACGCATCTCTCCCTTTCCCCTGTTCCTGGCTTTCCTTACAGCTCTCGACTTCCTCAAAGGAGTCATCAATTCGGAGTTTGGCTTCCATTCCTATTGAGCAAGCTGGAAAGCGTTTCAAAAATGCTCCTCTGATGTGCTTGTGGTTAAGACCTCTGAGCTCTGCTTAAAACTTTTGGAAGCTGGGAGCGGTGGTTCACGCCTGTAATCCCAGCCCTTTGGGAGGCTGAGGCAGGCGAATCACAAGGTCACGAATTCGAGACCAGCCTGGCCAACATGATGAAACCACGTCTCTACTCAAAATAGAAAAAAATGAGCCAGGCATAGTGGCGGGTGCCTGTCATCTCAGCTACTTGGCAGGCTGAGGCAGGAGAATAGCTTGAACCTGGGATGCAGAGGTTGCAGTGAGCCGAGATCACTCCACTGCACTCCAGCCTAGGCAACGGAACGAGACTCCATCTCAAAACAACAAAAACAAAAACAAAAACAAAAACAAAAACAAAAACCAAAGAAACCCACAACTTTTTGAGAGTTGGAAGACCAGGAAGTATAGCACCCGGGACTTCGAGTCTGGCCATGAATTTTGAATACCACGCTTTCTACTTCTCTGTATGGCAAGGGGTGAGACGTCCATCCTCTGAGACTCAGCACTCTCATCTGACTTGATTTCCAGTGGATGCGATGGAAGTGAGTGATGATTAAGCCGATCGTGGGTGCCCGCTGCGTGATCTCTAGGTGACGGATGCATAAAGTAAAGGCAAAGTGAATTTTAGATACATTCCTTAAGATGTTCAGCTTCAACTCCACACAGTTCAATGGAAATATCCCCTGACCTGAAGTTCTGCTTTCCCTGCATTCCAGACAGGACATTTTGTTGTGTCCTTCTCTCAGTAAGGACTGAGTACTGTGAGAGGAACAAGTGAGTCTCTTTGGTTTCTGATTCCCCAGAGCCTATATCTTGCTTGGCACCTAGGAGACAGCAAAAGTCAAAATGTATGTTAATGATTGAATTGACACTTCCTTGCTTCACCAAAATTGGCTGTCATCAGCGTGACTTTGACTTACTTGATGCTTTTTGTTTTTTGTTTTTTGAGACGGAGTTTTGCTCTCGTTGCCCAGGCTGGAGTGCAGTGGTGTGATTTCGGCTCACTGTAGTCTCTGCCTCCCAGGTTCAAGCCATTCTCCTGCCTCAGCCTCCCGAGTAGCTGGGACTACAGGCGCGCGCCACCATACCGGGCGAAGTTTTTGTATTTTTAGTAGAGGCGGGGTTTCACCATGTTGGCCAGGATGGTCTTGATCTCCTGACCCCGTGATCCGCTCTCCTCGGCCTCCCAAAGTGCTGGGATTACAGGCGTGAGCCACCGCATCCGGCCAAACGTTCTGATGAAACCTAAGTCCACCTAAGCCAAGGACAGGAGTCAGAGCTTCCATGAATTTTAAAACAAGACCCACCGATTTGAGTAAGCAATTACTCTCTCGAAGGAGAAAAGTCCGAAAACAGAATGATGAAATCACTAGGACCTAACTGGCATGTGGAACTATTTTCTGCTTATGAACTATCAACTTTCATTTCATTTCCAGATGGCATGGTCTCAGCTGTTATACAGTGTTTACGAATGTTCTAAATCAAGGGAATTTGTATCAATCTAGTAGAATAAATAAAATATTTGAGTTCTTAATTTCCTTTAATTAGGATAACCTTTTTCTTAAAGTGAAGACAATGGTTTTATTACATCTTTTTCTTCAGAAAAGATAGGCTGTATTTTCTAGCAATTACGAATGTGCTATATATGATGATCTGGCTCTTGGAACGTTCTTGAAGCTAATGTCTCTAAGGCAGGTGTGTACAGCAAGACGTGAATAACACAGCAATGGATGTTGAAAGCATTATAAGGCAATTGACCTTGTCAGAACTACAAAATATTATGGAGTGTGGATTGCTCGGAAATCTGAAAACATGACTTGTGTATTGCTTATATCCAAAATGCAGACACAATGCTGAGTATTGGTTTACTTGTTTCCGATTTTGCAACCATCTTTTCCAGGCAAAAGAGGGTTGTATCCAAACGATACAGACCCACAGAGTATAACAGATGTCTCTATATTCCTCCTCCTCGAACTCTCAGAGGATCCAGAACTGCAACCGGTCGTCGCTGGGCTGTTCCTGTCCATGTGCCTCGTCATGGTGCTGGGGAACCTGCTCATCATCCTGGACGTCAGCCCTGACTCCCACCTCCCCACCCCCATGTACTTCTTCCTCTCCAACCTGTCCTTGCCTGACATCGGTTTCACCTCCACCACGGTCCCCAAGATGATTGTGGACATCCAGTCTCACAGCAGAGTCATCTATGCAGGCTGCCTGACTGTGATGTCTCTCTTTGCCATTTTTGGAGGCATGGAAGAGAGACATGCTCCTGAGTGTGATGGCCTATGACCGGTTTGTAGCCATCTGTCACCCTCTATATCGCTCAGCCATCTTGAACCCGTGTTTCTGTGGCTTCCTAGATTTGTTGTCTTTTTTTTTTTTCCCTCAGTCTTTTAGACTCCCAGCTGCACAACTTGATTGCCTTACAAATGACCTGCTTCAAGGATGTGGAAATTCCTAATTTCTTCTGGGAACCTTCTCAACTCCCCCATCTTGCATGTTGTGACACCTTCACCAGGAACATCAGCATGTATTTCCCTGCTGCCGTATTTGGTTTTCTTTCCATCTCGGGGACCCTTTTCTCTTACTGTAAAATGGTTTCCTCCATTCTGAGGGTTTCATCATCAGGTGGGAAGTATAAACCTTCTCCACCTGAGGGTCCCACCTGTCAGTTGTTTGCTGATTTTATGGAACAGGCGTTGGAGAGTACCTCGGTTCAGATGTGTCATCTTCCCCGAGAAAGGGTGCAGTGGCCTCAGTGATGTACACGGTGGTCACCCCCATGCTGAACCCCTTCATCTACAGCCTGAGAAACGGGGATATTAAAAGTGTCCTGCGGCGGCCGCAAGGCAGCACAGTCTCATCTCAATACCTTCTTATCTGTTCCATTCCTTTTGTAGGGTGGGTTAACAAAGACAGCAAGGTCAAATAAGAATGATATCACAGGGTGAACACCCCACTGTGACATTAAGAGTAATACCTCCCTAGGATATAAAAAATACTGTCACAGAGTACACACACATGGGGTACACCCACGGTGATATTAGAAGCACTATCTCCCTTAAATATTATGAAAAATATCACAGGGTGTGCACACTGTGTGATATGAGGAGTCATATTTACCCTGGATATCACGACTCGTATCAAGGGTGTACACACACCGGGTACACGCACTGTGATATCAGGAGTTGCATCTCCCTAGGATATTACGAATAATATCACAGGGTATACACTATGTGTGAACATCCACTGTGACATTTGAACTCAGATCTCTCTATGAGATTACAAATAATATCAAAGTATGTACACCCTTGTGACATATTAGGAGTAACATCCTTCTAGGGTATTGCAGATAACATCACAAGGTGTACACCTTCTGTGACCTTTTGCGCACACTTTGTGCCATTCAAGGAAACATCCCCCTAGGGTATTACGAATAATGACACAGGCGGTTGACACACATGGTGTACATCTCCTGTGCCATCAGCAGTAATATTCCTCTAGGATATTACGAATAATACCACAGCAGGTGTACACATACGGTGTTCACCCCATGTGACATTAGGAGGCACATGCCCCTAGGATATTAGGAAAAGTATCACAGGCGTTGAATATGCATGATATACACCCCCGGCAACATTGAAAGTAACATCCCCCTAGGATATTACGAATAATGTCACAGGGAGTACACCCCATGTGACATTAGGAGTAACATCCCCCGAGGATATAACGAATAATATCAGGGGGCGTACATACATTGTGACCTTAGTGGTAACATCTCTTTAGGATATTACCAATAATATCACAGGGTGTACACTGACCGTGATATTAGGAGTCCCATTTTCCTAGGATATTATGGATAATATCACAGGAGGTGTTCACACACAATGTGTACCCCATGTGTGTACACCCAAAGTGATATTTGAAGTCATCTGTCCCTAGGATCTTACGAATATTATCAAAGGGTGTACACCCCATGTGACATTAAAAGTAACATCCCTTTTGGATATTCCGAATGCTATCACAGGGTGTGATATTAGGAGTAACCTCTTCCTAGGATAACCCATGTGATATTAGGAGTAACCCCTTCCTAGGGTATTACGAATAACATCACAGAGTGTACACTCCTGTGACTTTAAAAGTAACAACCCCCCTAGAATATTACAACAATATAACAGGGTGTACAACTCCTGTGACATTACGAGTAACATCTCCCTAGGATATTTCGAATGATGCCACTGGGGGCACACCCTCTGTGATATTAACAGCAACATCTTTCTAGGAGATTACAAATGATATCACAGGGTGCACACTCACTGTGATATTAGAAGGAATATCTCCCTAGGATATAAGCTATCACATCACAGAGTGTACACACATGGTGTACACCCACTGTGTTATTAGAAGCAATATCTCCCTATGATTTTATGAAAAATATCACAGGGTGTACCCTCTGTGGGATACTAGAAGTAGTGTTTACCATGGATATTACAAATAATATCACAGGATGTACACACATGGGGTACACCCACTGTGATATTAGGAGTTATATCTCCCTCAGATATTACAAATAATATCCCAGTGGGTGTAGCCCATGTGTGTACACCCACTGTGATCATGAAAGTAATATCTCTCTATAAGATTACAAATAATATCGAAGGCTGTACACCCCCTGTAACGTTAGGGGTAACATCCCCCCAGAATATTACTAATAATATCACAAGGTGTACACGCATTGTGACATTAGTAGTAGTATCCAGCTAGCATATTTTCAATAATATCACAGAAGTAACACACCTGTGACATTAAGAGTGACATCCCCCTAGAATAGTAAGAATACTATCACAGGGTGTACTCCCCCTGTGATATTAGGAGAATCATCTCATCAGAATATTACGAATAATGTCATAGGGTGCTATCTTCTGTGACATTAGGAGTATAGACCCCTGGGAAATTATGAATACTATCACAGGGTGTACACCCCTGTGACGTTAGGAGTAACATCCTTCTAGAATATCATGAATAATATCAGAATGTGTACACCCCCGTGTCATTAACAGTACAATTGCCCTAGGATATTATGAAATAGAACACAGGGAGTACACGCCGTGTGACATTAGAAGTCACATCCCCCGAGGATATAACGAATAATATCAGAGAATGTACATGCACTGGGACATCAGGAGTCACATCTCTTTAGGATAATACGAACAATATCAAAGGGTGTACACGCATTGTGAAATTAGTAGTGAACTCCCGCTGGGATATTACGAATTTTTTGACAGGGTCTCCACGCCCTGACACATTAGTAGTCACGTTTTCCGAGAATATGACGAAGAATATTAAAGGGTGTACAGGACCTGTGATTTACGAGTAACATTTCTATAGAAGATTACACGTAATATCACTGTGTGTACACCCTGTGTGACGTTAGGAGTCACATCCCAGAAAACTATAATGAAAAATTTCACAAGGTGAGCAACATCTGTGACATTAAAAGCAACATTTCCCTAGAATATGACGATAATATCACAGAGTGTATACCCTCGGTGATATGAGGAGTGATATCTCACAAGGGTAATACGAGTAATTTGAAAAGGCATACAAACCCTGTGACATAAGGAGTGACATCCCTCCAGGATATTCCGAATCATACCACAGGGAAAATACTCCGTGTGACAAAAAAATCAACCCCCCCTTAGGAGATTAAGAATCATAGCACAAGCTGTACACACACTGTGACATTATTATTAACGTCCCGCTAGGGTATTGCGAATAATATCAGAGTGTGTAGAGAATTGTGATATCAGGATTCACATTTCGCTACAATAACATGAATAATATCACAGGGTGTATACCCCCTGGAACTTAAACAGTGACACCTTCCTAGAATATGGAAAATAATGTCCCAGGGTGTTAACCAAGTGTGGCAGTAGAGAAAACATACTAGGAGAAAGGGAGTAATATCACCCCCTCTCGCCACCTGGATATTACGAGCCACATCGCAGGGGGGAGAGAGCGCCCCCCGCGATGCGTGGAGTAATATCACCCGCCTCTCCCCCCCAGATATTACCATCCAAATCGCAGGGGGGCGAGGCGCCCCCCGCGATGCGGGGAGTAATATCACCCGCTTCTCCCCCGCGCCGGATATTACGATCCAAATCGCAGGGGGGCGAGGCTCCCCCCGCGAAGCTGGGAGTAAAAGCCAGCCCCTCTTGCCCGCCTGGCTCTTAGGACCCCCATCGCAGGGGGGCGAGGCGCCCCCCGCGATGCGGGGAGTAAGAGCCAGTCCCTCTTGCCCGCCTGGCTCTTAGGATCCGCGGTGGACTCACAGCCTGTTTATCATATTGTGAGTAATATCATCTCCCCCTCTGCAGATTATGAACTGTTTCACAGACCTGTGTACACCCTGGGTGTACAGAAGTTGTACACCTGTCTGTATCGGGAGTCATATCATCCTCTTCCTGCCTGAATATTAGGAACAGTATCACTGGGGTGTTTCTACTCCCTGGGATATCGAGTGTCATGTCTTTCTCTCCCACGTTGCAATTGGAAACAATATCATTGGGGGCGAGTCCACCTTCTGTGATATTGAAAGTAATATTATCCTCTTCCTTCCAGGATCATGGGAAGGATATCCTTGGGGGTGTCCACTTTCCGCCATATATGTAGTCATATCACCCCCTCCGCCTTGGAATATTTTTAAGGACTATCTTACACGGGGGTGGACACTTCCTGCGATGTTGGGAGTAATAGCATTCTCTTCTTCCGTGAATATTAGGAGCAAAATCACCGGGTGGTGGATGCACACCCAGTGCTATATTGGGAGTAACGTCATACTCCACCCCCTGGAGATTATATTCGGATCAATATCACGGGCTGTGTGTACACCTACTGCGATATTGAACTTAATATCATGCTCTCTCCCTCCCTGGACATTAGGAGCAATATCGCAGCTGGGTGTACACCCACTGAGGTATTACTGCGTAATATTTGTATGAATTATTCCTCATTTATTATTAACAGGAATATGAATGACCGATATTAATATTATTATTAAGAAATAATTGCTAATAAAAAGTTTTCAGATTATTAATATTAATATGAATTATTAGGAGTTAATATTACTGTTTTCTAATGAATAAGATCATTATCAGTTATTAATATCAGGCGTCATTAATCATTAATATTAATCATGTATTGTTATCGTTAGTATAACTATTTAATATCAGTTATCATTATTATCGGTATTGATTTTAAAAATTATATTATGGGTTATTAATATTTATAATTATTAGTGTCAATTAATAATTGAGATTATTAATTGCCGTAAGTCGCCCTGCGCCATTACACCCCTCCCTCGGCAGCTCGTTTATGACCCTAAACGGGGACACAGATGCCCCTGAGAGAGCAGCGGTAGACTGGGATAGATGAGGTTGGTCACGTGGTAGAGAGGCATGTTTTTTGGTACCAGCACTTCACCTGCGTCGACCTTCTCAACTGGAAAAACAATACACCGCCCTATACCGAAAAGCCACAAGCCCTAACTGATTTGCTCCAAGCTGTTATCCAGACCCACAACCCCACCTGGGCTGATTGGCGCCAGTTGCTCATGTTCCTCTTTAACAGCGAAGAAAGGCGGAGAGTCCTCCAAGCAGCAACTAAGTGGCTAGAGGAACATGCACCAGCTGATTATCAAAACCCCCAAGAGTATGGAAGGACCCAGTTGCCAGGAACCGACCCCCAGTTGGACCCACATGAAAGAGAGGAGATGCAAAGGCTAAACCGAGACAGGGAAGCTCTCTTGGAAGGATTAATGAGGGGAGCTCAGAAGGCCACAAATGTTAACAAGCTCTCTGAGGTCATTCAGGGAGAAGAAGAAAGTCCAGCACAATTCTACGAGAGATTGTGTGAGGCCTATCGTATGTATACTCCCTTTGATCCTGATAGCCCTGAAATCAGCGCATGATTCACATGGCTTTAGTCCGTCAAAGCGCAGAAGACATGAGAAGAAAACTGCAGAAACAGGCTGGGCTTGCAGGGATGAATCCATCACAATTACCAGAAATAGCTAGCCAGGTGTTTGTAAACAAGGATACAGTAAGCCATAAGGAAAACGGCAAAGAGAATGGAGGTCAGGCCTGGCGACACGCCGACCTGTTTGTCAGCTGCAGCAATCAGAGGGGCCCCCCCAAAGAGGCAAGGGAAGGGGGGTCCTGGGAAAGAAACTCAGCTTGGCTGTCAGAGTTTGCAGTGTAACCAGTGTGCTCATTGTAAAGAAATAGGACAGTGGAAGAACAAATGCCCTCAGCTCAAAAGAAAACAAGGTGACTCAGAGCAGGAGGCCCCGGACAAGGAGGAAGGGGCCCTGCTCAACCTGGCAGAAGGGTTCTTGGACTGAGGGAGACCCGGCTCAAGCGTACCCAAACAGCCTCTGCTCAGAATGACAGTTGGGGGTGGAGACATTGACTTTCTTGTAGATAGCGGTGCTGAACATTTGCTAGTAACCGCCCCGGTCGCCCCCTTATCCAAAAAGACTATTGATGTCATCGGAGCCACAGGGGTTTCAGCAAAGCAAGCTTTCTGCTTGCCTCGGACTTGTACTGTAGGAGGACATAAAGTCATTCATCAGTTTTGGTACATGCCTGACTGTCCCTTGACCTTTTTGGGAAGGGACTTGCTCAGCAAGCTGAGAGCCACTATGTGTTTGACAGACCACGGCTCTTTGCTGCTAAAGTTACCCGGAACAGGAGTCATTATGACCCTTATGGTCCCCGGAGATGAGGAATGGAGAGTTTTCTTAACTGAGCCAGGCCAAGAGAGAAGACCAGCTCTGGCTAAGCGGTGGCCAAGAGTACGGGCAGAAGAGAACCCTCCGGGATTGGCCAGTTAAGACTGGGGCCCAGCCGGTGAGGCGAAAACAGGACCTGGTCCCCAGAGAAGCCCTTCAAGGTATCCAGGTGCGTCTCAAGCACCTAAGAACTTTTGGAATTATTGTTCCTTGTCAGTCTCCATGGAACACTCCCCTCCTGCCTGTTCCCAAGCCACGGACCAAGGACTACCGGCCGGTACAGGATTTGCGCTTGCTCCATCAAGCTACACTGACTTTACATCCAACAGTACCTAACCCGTCCACATTATTGGTGTTGCCGCCAGCTGAAGACAGCTGGTTCACCTTCTGGAACCTGAAAGACGCTTTCTTTCCTATCAGATTAGCCCCTGAGAGGCAGAAGCTGTTTGCCTTTCAGTGGGAAGATCCGGAGTCAGGTGTCACTACTCAGTACACTTGGACCGGGCTTCCCCAAGGGTTCAAGAACTCCCCCACCATCTTCAGGGAGGCGTTGGCTCGAGACCCCCAGAAGTTTCCCACCAGAGACCTAGGCTGCGTGTTGCTCCAGTATGTTGATGACCTTCTGCTGGGACACCCCACGGCAGTCGGGTGTGCCAAGGGAACAGATGCCCTACACCGGCACCTGGAGGACTGTGGGTAGAAGGTGTGCAAGAAGAAAGCTCAGATCTGCCGATGGCAGGTAAGTTACTTGGGATTGACTATCCAACAGGGGTCGGAACACAGCCCAGGATCAGAAAGAAAGCAGGTCATTTGCCATCTAGCTGAGCCTAAGAGCAGAAAGCAGGTGAGAGAATTCTTAGGAGCTGTGGGGTTTTGTAGACTGTGGATCCCAAACTTTGCAGTATTAGCTAAGCCTTTGTATGAGGTCACCAAGGGGGCGGGGACCGGGAACCTTTGGAATGTGGATCCCAACAACAGCAACTCTTTCATGAGTTAAAGGAAAAACTTCTGGCAGCCCCAGCCCTGGGGCTACCTGATCTGACAAAGCCTTTTCCATTGTATGCATCAGAGAGAGAAAAGATGGCAGCTGGACTTTGAACCCAAACTGTGGGGCCCTGGCTGAGGCCGGTGACCTACCTCTCTAAACAACTAGACGGGGTTTCTAAAGGATGGCCCCCCTGTTTGAGGGCCTTGGCAGCAACTGCCCTGCCACTACAAGAAGCAAATAAGCTGACTCTTGGGCAAAACCTGAACATAAAGGCCTCCCGTGCTGTGGTGACTTTAATGAATACTAAAGGACACAATTGGCTAATGAATGTCAGACTCACCAAGTACCAAACTGCTCTGCGAAAATCCCTGTATAACCATTGAAGTTTGCAACACCCTACACCCCGCCTCCTTGCTCCCGGTATCAGAGAGCCCTGTCGAGCCTGATTGTGTAGAAGTGTTGGATTCAGTTGACTCTAGCAGACCTGACCTCCGGGACCAAGCTTGGGCATCAGTAGACTGGGAACTATACGTGTATGGGAGCAGCTTCTTCAACCCCCAAGGAGAGAGAGGTGCAGGGTATGCAGTGATAACTCTGGACCCTGTTGTTGAAGCCAGATCGTTGCCCCAGACCACTTCAGCCCAGAAGGCTGAACTCATTGCTTTCATTCGGGCCTTAGAACTCAGTGGGTGTGAGACTGTCAATACTTACACTGATTCTCGGTATGTCTTTTCAACTCTTCAAGTGCATGGAGCATGATAGAAAAGGGCCTACTGAACTCTGGGGGAAAAGACAGAAAATATCAACAAGAAATCTTGCAATGATGAGAAGCAGTATTGAAACCCCACAAGGTGGCAGTTATGCATTGCAGAGGACACCAGAGAGCTTCCATCTTGCTGGGTTTGGGGAATTCCCACTCTGACTCAGAGGTTCGAAAAGCAGCATCTGCCCCCTTCTGGGCATCAGTGTTCCCTCAAGCACCTGATCTTGGACCTACTTCTTCTAAAGAAGAAAAGGACTTTCTCCAGGTAGAGGGAAGGACAAGTGATGGAGGAAGGATGGATTCGGTTACCAGATGGGAGACTAGCTGTGCCACAGCTGCTAGGAGCTGCAGTTGTACTGGCTGTGCAAGAAACCACCCATTGAGGTCAGGAGTCACTGGAAATTTGTTAGGCTGGTATTTCTACATCTCGCCTCTGTCAGCCCTTGCCATAACGGTGAGGCAGAGGTGTGTTACCTGCTGACAGCATGATGCGAGGCAAGGTCCAGCCGTTCCGCCCGGCATATGAGCTTAGGGAGCAGCCCTCTTTGAAGGTCTCCAGGTGGACTTCACAGAGGTGCCAATGTTTGGAGGTAACAAGTATGTACTAGTTCTTGGGCGTACCTACTCTGGGTGGGTGGAGGCCTATCCAACACGAACTGAGAAAACTCGTGAAGTAACCACTGTGCTTCTTTGAGATGTGATTCCTAGATTTCGACCGCCCTTACGGATCGGCTCAGACAACGGGCCTGCGTTTTTGGCTGCCTTGGTACAGAAGACGGCAAAGATATTGGGGATCACACGGAAACTGCATGCCGCCTCCCGGCCTCAGAGTTCTGGAAAGGTGGAGCGGATGAATCTGACTATCAAAAATAGTACTGTTGTCTTCCCCGCTGGATATTTAAAACAACACCACAAGGGGCGTCAAACCACCTGCTAAATTTGAGGGAATGTTATCCTCTCCCCACCTCCCCCGGCCCCGGATATTAGAGACAATAACACAAGGGTGATGTACACCCACTGCTTTATTGGGAGTAATATCATCCTCTGCCTTCTTGGATATTAGGAACAATGTCACACTGTGCGTGTATGCCTGTCGCGAAATTCAATGGAATGTCATCCTGCGCCTCCCTGGATATGACGAACAATATCACGGGGGATGTAAAACTTCTGAGATATTGGGAGTGATATCATCCTCTCCCCTCTGGAAGTTAGGGACAATATCACAGGGGTAGTGTACACCCTCTGGGATGTTGGGACTAATATCATCCTCCCGCCCACTGATATTAAAAACCATATCACAAGGGGCGTGTACACACACTTCGATATTGGTATGAATACCATCCTCTCCCTCTTTGGATATTCGGTGCCATATTTCTGGTGGGGTATACACCACCTGCAATATTGGAGGTAATATGATTTTCTCCCCTCCTGGATATCACAAACAATATCACAGGGGGTTGTGAACAAACCCTGCGATATTTGGAGTAATATCATCGTCTCCCCTCACAATTATTAAGAACAATATAGTAGGGGTGGGGGATGCACACCCCCTTTCATATTTTTTATCATCCTCTTCTCCCCTGGATATTAGGTACAATATCAGGAAGGGATGTACAGACCCTGAGACCTTTGCTGTCATAGAATTGTCTCTCCCGTAGATATTAGGAAAAAATGTCACTGGGGATGTGAACAGCCCTGCGATATTGAGAGTAGTATCATCCTCTGCCCCCTTGCATATTGGGAACAACATCACAGGTGGGGTGTACTGCCTCTGTGATATTGGGAGTGAAATTTTCCTCTCTTCCCCTGGACATTAGGAAGAGTATCAGAGGGGGTGGGTGTACATTCCCTGCGATATTCAACGTAACCTTATCCTCTCCCTCCCAGGGTATTCAGAACAATATTACAGGAGGGGTGTACACCCTCTGCGATATTGAGAGTCATGTCATCCTCTTTCGCTCTGGATATTAGGAACAATATCACAGGGTTGTGTACACTCTCTGCGATATTGGGAGTCATATCATCCTCTCTCCCTGTGGATATTAGGAAGAGTATCACAGGGCTGTGTAAACCCCCTGCGGTACTGGGAGTAATATCATCCTCTCTCCCTCTGGATATAAGGAAGATTTTCACAGGGGTGTGTACACCCCCCTGCGATATTGGGAGTGAGATCACCCTGTCCACCCAGGAAATGACTAACATGGTCACGGGGAAGTGTACTCCCCCTGCGATATTGGGAGTAATGTCGTCCTCCCCAAACCTGGATGTTAGCAACGAGATCACAGAGGGGGTGTACACACCCTGCGACATTGGAAGTAATATGATCCTCTCCCCACCTGGATACTGGGAAAGATATCACAGCGCGGGTATACGTTTCCTACCCTGTTGGGAGTAATATCATTCTTTTCCTTTCTGGATATTAGGAAGAATATCACAGGGGTGCTGCACGATTACTTCGATATTGGGAGTAATATCATCCTCTATTTTCCTGGATATTGGGCACAAAAACACAAAAGGGTGTACAACCCCTTCGATATTGGGAGTAATAGCATACTCTCCTTCCGTGGATTTTAGAAAACAATATCATCAGGGCTGAACACCCCCTGCGATAAAGGGAGTCATGGTTACTCTTTCACAGGCCATTTGGAATAATATCACAGGGGGTGTTTACAAATAGGGGTGGTGTACACCTCCTGTGATATTGGGAGTAACATTCTCTCCACCTCCGGATATTAAGAACAATATCCCGGCGGGAGGTGGTACACCCCCAGTGATATTGCAAATAATGTCATCCTCTCCTTCCCTGGATATTAGGAACAATATCACAGGGGGTTGTACACCTTCTGTGATATTGGAAGCAATATCATCCTCTCCCCCGCTGGATATTAGGAAAAAAAATCACCCACGGTGTACACCCACTGTGATATGAGGAGTAATATCTTCCCAGGGTATTATGTATAATTTCACAGTCTGTACACACATGGTGTACACTCACTGTGATATTAGGAGTAATATCTACCTAGTAGATAACAAATAACATCGCAGGGTGTACACCCACTTTGATATTAGCTGTAATATTTTTCTAAGTTGTTACAAATATGATCACAGGGTGTACCAACATGGTGTACACACACTGTGATATCAGGAGTCGTATCTCTGTAATATATTATGAATAATATCACAGGGTGTACACCCACTGTATTATTAGAAGTAATATCTCTGTAGGATATTACAATTAAGATCACAGGGTGTAGAGCCACGGTGATATTAGGAGCAATATCTTTCTAGGATATTACAAATAATATCACAGGGTGTACGCCCACTCTACTCTCAGGAGCAATATCTCCCTAGGATATCAAAAATCCTATCACAGGGTGTGCAATCTCTGCCTTCCAGGTTCTAAGGGATTCTCCTGCTTCAGCCTCCCGAGTAGCTAGGATTACCCGCTACCACGCCAGGCTAGACGGGATTTCACCACGTTGGCCAGGCTGGTCTGGAACTCCTGACCTCAGGTGATCCATCAGCCTCGGCCACCCAAAGTGCTGGGATTACAGGTGTGAGCCATGGTGCTGGGCCAAGAGTTCTAGATTCTATTCATTTGGAAACACAGCTCCCATCTTTGAGTGTGCATGTACTTTTATGAAGAAATGATGTCAGAAAACCGAAGGATGATAATAAATATGAAAAGTAACAGGCATGTGAAAAGGTCTTCCGATTGAGAATTATAAGGTTCGATTTCGTTTTCACATAATGGGGTACTACCTCTTGAGTCGTCCTTTTACATATTCTACATCAATGGAAGTTGTAGCACCGTGTCAGAATAAAGTAGAGTGTATTTCACGGTTTCTTAATTTCTTTCAATTAGACTGAGATCTTTTTCTTAAAGAGAGAAGGACATTGTCATTGCATTGTATTTTTTCTGAAAAGAGTAGGCCGTATTTTACTGAGATCACGGATTTGTTATATATGACGTTTCGGTCTTCTAATATTCTCCAGTGGATTTTCTCTAAAGTAGTGTGTACAGAAAGCCTTGTATAGCAAAAAAGTAAATCATGTAATAATTCTGAGATTTTTGGAATTGTCACAGCTGAGAAACATTGCTGGCGGTGTATGGTCCGCAAGTGTCAAGATGTTCCTTGTGAATTGCTTGCATCCAGCATTAAGGGCTGGTTTTTATCTTTTATTTTTCCAATCCTCTTTCCTTCTCAAGGTGTCCAAGACACACAGAGCCACGGAATCTCACAGGTGTCTGAGAATTCCTCCTCCTGGGACTCTCAGAGGATCCAGAACTGCAGCCGGTCCTCGCTTTGCTGTCCCTGTCCCTGTCCATGTATCTGGTCACAGTGCTGAGGAACCTGCTCAGCATCCCGGCTGTCAGCTCTGACTCCCACCTCCACACCCCCACGTACTTCTTCCTCTCCATCCTGTGCTGGGCTGACATCGGTTTCACCTCGGCCACGGTTCCCAAGATGATTGTGGACATGCAGTGGTATAGCAGAGTCATCTCTCATGCGGGCTGCCTGACACAGATGTCTTTCTTGGTCCTTTTTGCATGTATAGAAGGCATGCTCCTGACTGTAATGGCCTATGACTGCTTTGTAGGCATCTATCGCCCTCTGCACTACCCAGTCATCGTGAATCCTCATCTCTGTGTCTTCTTTGTTTTGGTGTCCTTTTTCCTTAGCCTGTTGGATTCCCAGCTGCACAGTTGGATTGTGTTACAATTCACCATCATCAAGAATGTGGAAATCTCTAATTTTGTCTGTGACCCCTCTCAACTTCTCAAACTTGCCTCTTATGACAGCGTCATCAATAGCATATTCATATATTTCGATAGTACAATGTTTGGTTTTCTTCCTATTTCAGGGATCCTTTCATCTTACTATAAAATTGTCCCCTCCATTCTAAGGATGTCATCGTCAGATGGGAAGTATAAAACTTTCTCCACCTATGGCTCTCACCTAGCATTTGTTTGCTGATTTTATGGAACAGGCATTGACATGTACCTGGCTTCAGCTATGTCACCAACCCCCAGGAATGGTGTGGTGGTGTCAGTGATGTAAGCTGTGGTCACCCCCATGCTGAACCTTTTCATCTACAGCCTGAGAAACAGGGACATACAAAGTGCCCTGCGGAGGCTGCGCAGCAGAACAGTCGAATCTCATGATCTGTTCCATCCTTTTTCTGGTGTGGGTGAGAAAGGGCAACCACATTGAATCTCTACATCTGCAAATCCTGCCCCTTAGTCACATTATTTTTGTGGCTTGATGGCTTTTATTCCTTTCCGCATTTCCTTTGTGAATATTGCTTTCTTCGTTATGCCTTTAACTGGAATGGGTGAGGATTCTGTGATCCTTTGTTTAGCAGAAACCTCATGACAGAATCCTCTCTACCTAGGCGGCCTCTTTTAGTTTCTGAGCAATAACCCTGTCATCCAGGTGGAATCACTACCATCTTTTTATATACACGAAGTCCTCACTTCGTTTTGGAATTCCCTGAAAACTGACTTTATGGAAACAATGTACAGGAGGTCCTCCAACAGTATTGGTTGTTCACAGTTGTGTAGTTATACTGTTGATGAAAAATAAGCGGTTTCACTATACATAATTTTGCTTCAAGTTGAAGTTTCCAAGAGACTTTCAAAGATGTTAAGTGAGGACATACTGTACATCAAATTCATATCCTCTTCCACAGTTCATGTGGAATTACTTTACAAACTGCTTCTAGAGAATCTATTTAGGCAGGTTATGTGTAGAGATCCATGTCGCCGTTCCTCAATCTTGGCTTTGAGTCAAATCACCTGGGGAGCTTACACATGATGAGGCCTGGGTCTCAATACCTGAGATTCTGATTTCCTTGAACCTGTGTGAGTATGCGGATTTTTTTTTTTTCTTTTAAAGCCCCAGAGGTGGTTCCAATGACGAAGTTTTTAGAGGCATGAAGCTCCAATGAGTAAGAATAGAAATTAATTGTTATATGATTTCTTCAAATATTATGTTCAAATGCATTGTCCATCAACACCATACAAATGTTTATTATGCTGTTTTTTGTTACCATTTCGCATTTTCTATTTCTTTCTTTTCCTTTTTTTTTGAGTCAGAGTTTCACTCTTGATGCCCAGGCTGGAATTCAATGGCACGGTTTCGGCTCACTGCAACCTCTGCCTCCCGTATTCAAGCAATTCTCCTGTCTCAGCCTTCCAAGTAGCTGGGATTACAGGCATGCGCTACCAGGCCTGGCTATTTTTTTTTTTTTTTGTATTGTTAATAGAGACAGTGTTTCTCCATTTTGGTCAGGCTGGTCTTGAACTCCCGACCTCAGGTGATCTGCCCGCTTCCGCCTCCCAAAATGCTGGGATTACAGGCATGAGCTACCGCGCCCAGCCACCACTTAGCATTTACATTTTACATTTGTGGAAGTTATAGATTTATACACACATTGATTCCTGCTTTGTTATACACTTGCATATACATAAGATGGGAAATAGAAAAGAATAAAATAGGCACAGTATCCGTGAAGTTTCACATTCCAAGTCTTTAAAAATATGTGCTTTTTAGAAATTTGTTTCAATGAAGAAACTGTGGTATACACACCCAATGAAGTATTATTCAGCCTAAAAAGGAAGAACATCCTCTCTGCTGCAGACAAAATGGATGAGATTGCAGGTCTGTATATTAAATGAAAGAAGCCCGGCACAGAATGACAAATATTTCCTGTCCTCACTTCTACGTAGGAAGAAAAAAGGAAACCTTGGCCAGGTGTGGTGGCTCAGGCCTGTAATCCCAGCACTGTGGGAAGCCGAGTCGCACGGATCACTTGAGTCCAGGAGTTCGAGACCCGCTTGGCCAACATGGTGAAACCCCGTCTCTACGGAAAAAACAAACAATTACTCGGGCTTGGTGACGCGTGCCTGTAGTCTCAGCTACTCAGAGGGCGGAGGCCCAAGAAGCTCTTGAACTCGGGAGGCGGAGCTTGCAGGGAGCCCGGATTGTGCCTGTGTACTCCAACCTGGGCAACAGAAAGAGACTCCATCATACACCTACACACAAAAGGAATCTGAGGAAGGTGGAAAGTATAAACGTGGTTAGCAGGCGCTACGAAGAAAAGGGGTGGGATGGGGAATGAAGACAAGTGGATAATTGGGTCCCGAAATACAGAAAGATGGAATAAGTGAGTTCTAGCGTTTGATAGTACAGTATGAAAATTTTAGTTCACAAGAATTTCTTGCATATTTCCAGATGGTTTGGTAAGAAACTTCCTAACTTTCTCATTATGCTTCTTTTTAAGCTCTTCTCTTTCTGCTCTTGAAATCATGCTTGTTTTTTTTTTTTGTTTTGAGATGGAGTTTCGCTCTTGTTGCCCAGGCTGAAGTGTCATGGTGCAATCTTGGCTCACCGCAACCTCTGCCTCCTGGGTTCAAGTGATTCTCCTGCCTCCACCTCCCGAGTAGCTGCGATTACAGGCATGTGCCAGCCCGCCCAGCTAATGTTGTATTTCTAGTAGAGACGGGGGTTTCTCCCTGTCGGTCAGGCTGGTCTTCAACTCTTGACCTCAGGTGACCTGCCAGCTTCGGCCTCCCAAAGTGCTGGGATTACAGGGGTGAGCGACCGCGCCCTGCCCATGCTGTATCCTTATCTGTTGTCTATTGTTGTTTGTTTGTTTTGGAGCCCAGAAATACCTTCCCACCTATATGTTCAAATGATTTTTCACATGAGTGCTAAGAAAGCTCATTGGTGGAAAAGCAGCCTTTTCAAGAAATGGTGTTGGAGAAACTTGATTTCCACATGCAGAAGAATGAAGGTGGACCCTATGTCACACCAGGTGCAAAAATTCACACAAACTGGATCAAAGACCTCACCCCAAGCGCTAAAAGTGTCATATGCCTTAAAGAAAACATTGGCCACGCTTTCATGACATCAGATTGGGCAATGTTCTCTGGGATATGACACCAAAAGCATAGGCAACAAAGAAAATTATATTCCTTGGATTACATCTACATGACAGACACTTTTGTGCAGCAAAAAACACTGCGAACTGAGTGAAAAGATAACCCATGAATTAGGAAAAATATTTGCAAAGCATATATCTGAAAAGAGGTTGATATCCATCATATATAAAGAACAGCTAGAACTAAACAAGAAACCCAAAGCATCCCATCAACAATGGTCAGAAGACTCAAGTAGACGTGTCCCTAAAGAAGATATTGCAATGGCCAATAAGCATCTAAAATGATGTTCAAAATCACTCATCCTAGGGAAGCGCAAATCAAACCAAGAATGTGTTACCAAACATTAGGATGGATATGATAAACAAACAAGCATTGGAGAGACTAGAGGGAAATAGGAATGCTCGAATATGATCGGAGGGAATGTAAAACCATGAAGGAATGGGGAAAATGGCATGGCATGTACTGGAAAAATTAGAATGATCAGATGTTCCCGCAGTTACATTTGTGGGTACCTACCAAAAAGAATTAGAAGCCAGGAGTGGAAGACAGATTTGTGTACACCCATATTCATAGCAGCATTATTCACAACAGCCAAAATGTGGAAGCAACCCAAGGGTTTGTGGACAGATGAATGAAAAAGCACACTGCAGTTCCTTCATACAATGGAAGACTATTCAGCCTTGAAAAGGCAGACACTTCTGGCCGGTGCGGTGGCTCACGCCTGTAATCGCAGCGTCTTGGAAGACCGAGGTGGACGGATCACCTGAGGTCAGGAATTCAAGACCAGCCTGGCCATCTTGGTGACACCCTGTCTCTACTCAAAATGCAAAAAATGAGATGAGCGTGGTGGTGTGTGCCTATAGTCCCAGCTACTCGGGAGGCTGAGGCACAAGAATCTCTGGAACCCAGGAAGCGGAGGTTGCAGTGAGCCCAGATTGTGCCACTGCACTCCAGCCTGTGCGACAGAGTGAGACTCCATGGAAACACAAAACAAAACAAAGTCAAACGAACAAACAAAAAACAAAAAAAACACAGAGAGGCACTTCTGACGCAGGCGGCAACATGGATGAACCTTGAAGACACTATCGTCAGTGAAATAAATAAATCCCAAAAGGATAAACAGGCCCATGTTCGGTGGCTCGCACCTGTAACTCCAGCACTTTGGGAGGCTGTGCCAGGCGGATCACTTCAGGTCAGGAGTTCGAGACCAGCCTGGCTAATATGATGAAAGCACGTCTCTATTAAAAATACAAAAATTATCTGGGCGTGGTGGCGCACGACTGTAATCCCAGCTACTCGGGAGACTGAGACACAAGAATCGCTTGAACCCACGATGTGGAGGTTGCAGTGAGGTGACATCACGCCACTGCACTCCAGCCTGGGTGACAGAGAAAGACTCTGTCTCCAAAACAAAAAAATTAAACACGGTATGATTCCACTTTTCTATGAAGTGTCTAGAGTAGTGAAACCCATAGAGTTGCAAACTAGAAAGGTGGCCCCCAGGGGTGGGCGAGAGAGAGGAATGGAGAGCTTGGTGAATGGGTAGAATTTCCATTTTGAAAGATAAAACTGTTCCGGAGACGATGGCGGTGATGGTTCTAAACAATGTGAATGTACTTAATGTCATTAAACTGTAAACTGAAAAACAGTGGAAATTGTAAATGTGTATACTGGCCATTCTATATGAACTAATACATATTTACAATTTTTAATATTTATACGTGGTATATTTTCCCATAATAAAAGATGAAAATTAAAGCAGTTGGATGTTTAAAAAGAAAAGAAAGAAGCGAAGAATACACTCCAGCTTTCTCCTGATTAGAGGGAGAGCCCCAATGCTTCTGTGGACGCTCACTTTTCTGTTCTTCTTGCAATATTATGAGGAAATCCTTAGAGGTTGGGGAACTTGGGCGACTTAGGCTAATGAGGAGCTCTGTGCCTTGAGCCCCCAGGCCACAGAATAGTAAATACTCCGTCTGTGCCTCCAGCCCTGCAGTGTGAGGTTGCAGTCCTGTGGGCTCCACTCCCGTCACCTGTATCGGGGGCTCATCTCTCACCCTGTCTTCTTGCCAGCCTTGAGGACAGAGTCTGAGCCTCCATGGTGCACCAAGCAGGTAGGACAGTGGACCTGTTCTCCGTGGTCATGTCCCAGCAGAGAGTAGGGGCAGTTCAGCGAGTGTAGGCAAAAGAAAGAGAGATCAGACTCTTACTGTGTCTATGTAGAAAGGAAAGACATAAGAGACTCCATTTTGAAAAAGACCTGTACTTTCAACAATTGCTTTGCTGAGATGTTGTTAATCTGTAGCTTTGCCCCAGTCACTTTGAACCAACCACTTTGACCCAACATGAAGCTCACAAAAGCATGTGTTGTATGAAATCAAGGTTTAAGGGATCTAGGGGTGCAGGACATGCCTTGTTAACAAGATGTTTCCAAGCAGTAGACTTGGTAAAAGTCATCGCCATTCTCTAGTCTCAATAAACCAGCGGCACAATGCACTGTGGAAAGCCACAGGGAGCCCTGCTCTTGAAAGCAGAGTATTGTCCAAGGTTTCTCCCCATGTGATAGTCTGAAAAGTGGCCTCTTGGGAGGAGAATGACCTGAGCGTCCCCCAGCCCGACCCCCGTAAAGGGTCTGTGCTGAGGTGGATTAGTCAAAGAGGAAAGCCTCTTGCAGTTGAGACAGAGGAAGGCCGCTGTCTCCTGTCTGCCCCTGGGAACTGAATGTCTTGGTATAAAACCCGATTGTACATTTGTTCAATTCTGAGATGGGGGAAAAACCGCCCTATGGTGAGAGGCGAGACATGTTTGCAGCAATGTTGCCTTGTTATTCTTTACTCCACTGAGATGTTTGGGTGGAGAGAAACATAAATCTGGCTTACGTACATGTCCAGTCATAGTACCTTCCCTTGAACTTCCTTATGACAAAGATTCTATTGCTTACATGTTCTTTGCTGACCTTCTCCTTATTATCAGCCTGCCCTCCTGCTACATTCCTTTTTGCTAAAATAATAAAAATAATAATCAATAAAAACTGAGGGAACTCAGAGGCCTGTGCTGATGCAGGTCCTTGGTATGCTGAGTGCTGGTCACCTAGGTCCACTGTTGTTTCTCCATACTTTGTCTCTCTGTCTTATTTCTTTTCTCGGTCTCTCGTCCCACCCGACTAGAAATACCCACAGGTGTGGAGAGGCAGGCCACCCCTTCAAGTGAGTGCTGAGGGACGGTTGGGGGCCTTGTTTGTTTCCTCATCCTCAGGACAAACAAGAGACTGCGGTGGGCAGATGTAAGGAGACCAATGTGCAACTCTCTGCTCAGCAGAGTGTGGAGTTTCTGTTCTTGGTTGTGGTGGGGGTCTCAGAAATCTTATTCAAAATTTTGCTTTCTTCCCCCACTGGTTGTCCTTTTCATAGACATCTCACCCATGATAGCAGGGAATCAGTCCCTCTAAACTATTCCCTAAGAACAACAAAAAGATTATGAAGGTGATGATGAGGATAAAGAGGATGACGACAGACACCATGGCATCATGAACCCTTACTGAGGGCTTCCTGAAGGCCAGGCTCTGAGCTCTGTGCTCTATGCAGCTTGTTTCATTTCATCTGCATAGTCTCCATGTTATTAGCGCACATTTCATGATTATTTTACAGACTAGAAAAGGCGCAACGGATTTTCATGTAGCTTGTACCAAATCACGAAGTCAAAAAAGGTGAAGTCCAATTTGAACCGAGCAGTCTAAGTCCAGACACATGGCATTTGGGCAGTCCTCTCCCTGCAACCAACCTGCCCTCTCAAATTCTAGTCACTCAGGCGGTTGCCCCTGCTCACTGTGCCCCTCCCTTTGGGGGTTCCTTGTAGACCACAGCTAGACCAGTGGGTGCCACAATCACTGTGTCAAGTATGGAAAGGACAGCTGAGATCACATCGAGGATTCCAGAAAGAATTGGCACAGGATCATTCGGGACGCATCTCTCCCTTTCCCCTGTTCCTGGCTTTCTGTACAGCTCTCGACTTCCTCAAAGGAGTCATCAATTCGGAGTTTGGCTTCCATTCCTATTGAGGAAGCTGGAAAGTGTTTCAAAAATGTTCCTCCGAGGTGTCTGTGGTTAAGACCTCTGAGCTCTGCTTAAAACTTCTTGAAGCTGGGCGCGATGGCTCACACGTGTAATCCCAGCCCTTTGGGAAGCTGAGGCAGGCGAATCACAAGGTCAGGAGTTCGAGACCAGCCTGGCCAACATGGTGAAACCCTGTCTGTACTAAAAATACACACACACACCCACACAATTAGCCAGGAATGGTGGCGTATGCCTGTAATCCCAGCTACTGGGGAGGCTGAGACAGGAGACTCCTTTGAAGCCGGGAGACAGAGGTTGCAGTGAACCGAGAACATGCCACTGCACTCCAGCCTGAGCAACAGAGCAAGACTCTGTCTCAAAAAAATAAATAAATAAAAATTATGAAAAAAAGTGATTGGATGGGCTTGGCAAACTTTAGCCATTAGCTCACATACCACTTTGGAAGGGCATACCTTCAGTCACTTCGCCCTTTAATCCCTTTGCTCAAGACTAAAGTTCTGAGAGGAAGTCTAATCGGCTGAGTTGTGTCCATGTGGGCAGTGCAGGAAAGGGTGCAGCGGGAGGCGGCTCCAGGGACGTCTTTGGCTTCCATCATGGGGGAGCAGGCGCCTGGATTATCCACCCTAACAAATCTGGACAAAGGAAAACGATTTTCTCTGAGGAAGGAGACATAGAGCACAAGGAGCTAACCAAGAGACAAATAGTCATCCTGTCTTGTCATTTTCTTTTACACATGTGTGTACATTATCTTACACTTATCGCTTTGTTTTCTTTCTCTCCTTTAATTGCACCCTGCTGCCAAAAGTTAAAATAAAATGAAAGTATTGAGATAGCTCAGTAACTGACTTTTGGTCAATTGCGTTTTCATATAGTGAACAGCTGCCCAAACGATTGTCTCTGTCACTGTGCAAATTTGCAAGCGTTTGCATGATCACTCCCAATCCCCCAACAAAGGGCTGTTTTACAACACAATTTAGTTCAGTGTTTTGCTCTCTGCAACAGGGAGGTTCTCATCCATTACAGGTTGCAGTAAAAACAGGGGTACCATAAGCAACCACCTCTTTCCTCAACGATGTGATGAAAGCAAAAGCCAAGTATCTTCATGTATCCAACGTAAAAATATAAAAAGTTACGCCCGTCGGCTGCAGTTGGAGCTATGGCGGCGGCAGCTGTCACTGGGCCTAGCCCGGGGTGTGGACCTGGGGACTCCCCAGAAGGGCCCGAGGGGGAGGCTCACGGAGCGTCGGCGGAAGGCACACAGGATGTTAAAGCTTTACAACGGCCTCTCGGAAGGGGAGGCGGTGAGACTCCTCGCGGGGACCGACCCCCTGGACCCCACTGATCTGAACGGGGCACACTTCAACCCGGAAGTTTACCTAGACAAGCTGCCTAGAGAGTGCCCTCTGGCCCAGCTGATGGACAGTGAGACGGACATGGTGCAGCAGATCCGGGCTCTAGACAGCGACATGCAAACCCTGGTCTATGAGAACTACGATAAGTTCATCCCCGCCACAGAAATTGACAAACAGCATAAAACTGTATGAGGAATTGCAGGAGACCCAGAATTTACCAAATAACCTTATAAAAGAGAATAAAGTTGGAAGACTCACAAAAAAATACATATATATATGTATATATATATCAAGATGTGTTTTTGTTCAGTTGTAAATGTTTAGTAATTTCTATTGTGATTTTTCATTTAACTCATGAAAAGATATTTTTAATTTTCCAAATGTATGCTTGTGTTTAGCTATCTTCTTGCTGTTGACTTCTAATTTTGTTGCATTATGGTCAGGAAAATGTGGTCTGGACAATGTCAATCGTATAGTGGATTTTGTTGAGACTTCTTTATGGCCTAATATGTGGCCAGTTTTTTTTTTTTTTTTTGCAAATTTGCCACATGTGGTTAAAAGGAATGTGGATTATTTGGGTTTTTTTGGAGAGTTTTTATTTTTAAATAGATAAGGTTTTCAGTGTAATTGAAATCTAGCTTCAATTAACAATATGCTAGATCTCTCAAACCTTAGGATGTTAGTCAGTGTAAGAATAGACTGCTGCTGAGACGAATAAACCCTGAACTCTCAGTGGGTTGACACCCATAGCATAGTCTGGTGCAGGGCAGGGGTTCTCCTTGGGGGCCCTTGTCCAATAGTGATTCAGAGATTCTGGAGGTTTCCATCTTTTAGTCTGCCATCTCAGAGTTTTTCACTTGTAGCCATATGGATAGGAAGAGAGGGAACATAGCTCACACTTGCCTTTGATAACCTTGGCCCAGAAGGGATTTCTTACATTCCTATTGGCGGAAATGCAGTCACATGGTTCCAAACTAACTGCAAGTGAGGCTGGGAAATGTAGTCTTTCTGCATGCCCAGGAAGAGGAATGGTGTGAACATAGCATTGTCTTTGACACACTAAGTATGTGCTAAAGAGTTCTTACTCTTATAGGAGGTTTGTCTGTCCTGTGTAACTTTCTCAGTTTTTGCTTAGATAGTTTCAGGCAATGTTGTTTGGTGCATTCAGCTTGATGATTATTATGTCCTCTTGGCAAAGTAGTCAAGATTCCCATCAGTTTGAATGAAAGTGTTTTACAAATTGGTCAGGAAATGTTAATACTTTAAAAGGCCCTTCTATTCCTCCACTCTACAGATAAGAACAACAGAGTCCTAGAGAGAGGAGATCATGGGTCTCTCTCATGAGTGGCAGAATTGAAACCAACATGGCAGTAACTTTGCCTTCCCCCATCATGTTGTTCTCCCTCTATATTCACTCTGCTGATTTCTTCATTTGCTCCATACAGACCTCCCAGTGCCAAGTGTGTAAGTGTGTCCAGAATTGGTGGGTTCTTGGCCTCACTGACTTCAAGAATGAAGCCGCAGACCCTCCTGGTGAGTGTTACAGTTCTTAAAGGTGGCGTGTCTGGAGTTTGTTCCTTCTGATGTTCGGATGTGTTTGAAGTTTCTTCCTTCTGGTGGGGTTTGTGGTTTCGCTGGTTCAGGAGTGAAGCTGCAGACCTTCATGGAGAGTGTTACTGCTCTTAAGGCTGCACGTCTGGAGTTGTTCATTTCTCCTGGTGGGTTCATGGTCTCGCTGGCTTCAGGAGTGAAGCTGCAGACCTTCTCGGTGTTACAGCTCATAAAGGCAGTGTGGACCCAAAGAGTGAGCAGCAACAAGAT
Organism: Homo sapiens; assembly: GCF_000001405.40. NCBI lineage: Eukaryota > Metazoa > Chordata > Mammalia > Primates > Hominidae > Homo > Homo sapiens. Next base: position 125,758,103 of record NC_000003.12, read on the forward strand.
TTATTGCAAAGAGCAAAAGAACAAAGCTTCCACAGTGTGGAAGGGGACTCCAGCAGGTTGCCACTGCTGGCTCGGGCAGCCTGCTTTTATTCTCTTACCTGGCCCCACCCACATCCTGCTGATTGGTCCATTTTACAGAGAGCCTGAGTGGTCTGTTTTGACAGGACACTGATTGGTGCGTTTACAATCCCTGAGCTAGACACAATGGCTCCCCACGTCCCCACTAGATTAGCTAGATACAGAGTGTCCACACAAAGGTTCTCCAAGTCCCCACCATAATGGCTAGATACAGAGTGTTGATTGTTGCATTCACAAACCCTGAGCTAGACACAGGGTGCTGATTGTTGTGTTTACAAACCTTGAGCTAGATACAGAGTGCCGATTGGTGTATTTATAATCCCTTAGCTAGACATAAAGGTTCTACAAGTCCCCAGCAGACTCAGGAGCACAGCTGGCTTCACCCAGTGGATCCCGCACAGGAGCTGCAGGTGGAGCTGCCGGCCAGTCCCTCTCCGTGTGCCCACACTCTTCATCCCTTGGGTGGTCGATGGGACTGGGTGCCATGGAGCAGGGGGCGGTGCTCGTCGGGGAGGCTCGGGCCGCACAGGAGCCCACGGAGGGGGGAGGCTAAGGAATGGCGGGCTGCAGGTCCCGAGCCCTGCCCCGCGGGGAGGCAGCTAAGGCCCGGCGAGAAGTCGAGCACAGCAGCTGCTGGCCCAGGTGCCAAGCCCCTCACTGCCCGGGCTGGCCAGGCTGGCCTGCAGATCCTAGTGCGGGGCTGCCAAGCCCACGCCCACCCGGAACTCCAGCCGGCAGACAAGTAGCGCGCATAGCCCCGGTTCCGGCTCACGTCTCTCTCTCCACACCTCCCTGCGAGCTGAGGGAGCCAGCTCCGACCTTGGCCAGCCCAGAAAGGGGCTCCCACCGTGCAGCTGCGGGCTGAAGGGCTCCTCAAGTGCCGCCAAAGTGGGAGCCCAGGTAGAGGAGGCATCGAGAGCGAACGAGGGCTGTGAGGGCTGCCAGCATGCTGTCACCTCTCATAAGGAGTGATTAATCTGAGCTTCTCCAGAAAGTCCATTCCTGGTAGGCACTGGGAATAAGAAATCTCAGAGTATAAAAAAACATCAACTGGTAGTACTTTTGTGAATGGCTCCCAAATTAGATCCTTTACTTTTTTTTTTCATGAAGCACAGTTGCCCAAAACACGCTTAGCCTGAGATGAAGCGCATATTAGAGAAAGTTTCTCTCTATAGCATTATGTATTACTCGAATGAGCATTAAAAAGAGGAGACGGGACATGCTCTCTCTAGCTATTATTACCTCCACTATAGAGTTGACATACACAAGCTCATTATTGCATTATGTTTTATTCAACAAAATAATGTTGAAGCTTATATTGAATTCTCTAAAACATCTTTGTCTCCAGCATAGTGTGCCTCAAGTGTCTCCTTGGTGCCTGAATTTTCTCCAGAATTATAGTGCTGAAGCTATGGAAATGGTGAAATTATATGCAATCTGCAAAACAATGTGGCTATAACGTGGTAATTGGCCTTCCACATAATTAAAGGAACATTTCCTCATCAGAGCTGTTCCATCAGAGACCCAAAGGCTATCGTTATACAAATCACCCACTTAGGAAAACCTTTATTCCCAGTAGCCTATAAAAATCTGGTTATGCAAACAGATTTGCTTATTCAGTAACATTAATGGCTTCTCATAGTTAAAAAGTCATCAATGTGATTGACCTATAATCTGTTTCCTCTGTGACCAAGTGTCATTTTTATTTTGACAGTTAGGAGCCTTTTGACTCTTTCACAGCTGGCATGAAGGTACAGGGAGGGAAATCTCAAAAACCAACAACCTGTGTATTCCCAGCCTATTAATCAATAGAAAATCACTTCAACTGGATTAGGGTCTTGTACCTGGCAGAAAGGCTGTTATGGACATTGGAATTGGATTTTTACACTAGATATGACACCTCTTTGCGTCAGATCACATTCGTTTTTGATAGACTCTTGCCGAAAAATTGCTCCAGGGTCTGTGCAGTAGCTAAAGCCTTTTTGTTGTTGTTGTTGTTTTAAAAGCAGCATTCAATGTTTTCATGAAGACCTTCCCCGCAGTGATTTCATTGGGAATATGGTCTTTAGCTCTGGTCCTGAATAACTCACACTGAGGAAACCTCTAACAAGTGTTTTATTGGAAGATGTCTGATGGATGGTTGGTTTTAATAACGAATCTCTTCCCTTTTTCTGTCCTCTGTGTTCTATTCTCCTTTCTCTACACATTATTCTGGGAGGATTCACCTATTCCCAAAGTCCTTTCCTCTTTATTTCCATTCCAGAGCTCTCTGTATAACTCCAGGCTGATGAATCCAACGGCCCAGTTGTTATCTCCACTTGGCTGTCTTTCTTGCATTGACCTCATCTTACCTTGCCTCTCCTGATTTCCTCTTCTGCCTGGGCTCACCACTTCAGATTCACACCACCATCCACCCAGCTTCCAAAACACCTGGGCCTCCTCCTTCATTCCTCCCTCTTTCTCAGTCAAGTTAGTCTACTGTCTCCTCTCCATCCTCACTGCCACAGCCTTGGTCCAGCCAACCATCTTGTCTCACTTGGCGTATTGCAGCCTCCTACCTGGTCTACTCACCTCCCACTCTCCTCCAGCCAGACTGCTCTTTTTATAGCACAAAGTGGATCATTACTCCCCTGCCTAAAAACATCTACTGTCTCCCTTTGTCTACAGGATAAACACGACAAAGAGCCTTTAAGATTTGGCTCCAACTTACCTCTATATTAGTCACTTTTTAGAATTATATGAACATCTCTCAGCTCCTCACCCTCTCACGTCTTGATTTTTGCACGTGCTCTTCCCTCTGCTGGGAATGATCTTCCACACCTCTCCTATCGACCTGGCTAATTCCTACCATTTTCTAGTCTTCAACTGAGGAGTCCTGTGGTGGAGAAAGATTTCTCACCACCTGATAGAGATTGCATGTCCACCCACCTCCGGACTTTTATTTATTTATTTATTTATTTATTTTTTTGACGGAGTTTCGCTCTGACCATGCAGGCTGGAGTGCAGTGGCGCGATCTTGGCTCACTGCAATCTCCGCCTCCCGGGCTCAAGCAATTCTCCCACCTCAGCCTTCTGAGTATCTGGAATTACGGGTGCCCACCACCACATCTGGCTAATTTTTTTTGTATTTTTAGTAAAGACAGGATTTCACCATGTTGGCCAGGCTGTTTTCGAACTCCTGGCCTCAAGTGATCCACCCACCTTGGCCTCCCAAAGTGCTGGGATTACAGGCAAGAACAACTGCACCTAGCCAATCGGGTGCCCCTTCTATTTGCTCCCATTGCCCCAGGCATACTGTCACCATAACTCTTACCATTCTGAGTTGAAAATGATTTTTTTTCTTTTTATTTCTCTCATTAAATGCAAAGCTCATTGAAAAGAGGACAGTGGTTGTTCACTGTTGTACTCCTAACCTTTGACTCAGTGTCCTGAGGTTGGCTTTAGAGCTGTGCACACATGTTCAGACATTGGAGCACATCTTATCTAGCACCTCTTTTGAGGTGGCTTAGAGAAAAGTCAGTAGGTACTTCCCCAAGAATGAAACAGAAGCTTCACCTAAATCAGTTCTTCAACTTCAGCCTGCATTAGACTCCTCTGAGAGCTTATTAAAAATACAGTCTCCTAGAGCCCACTCTTCAAGAGTCGGTGAGTTGCTTCATCATCAAAATATGTACAGAATTCAGGCAGTCTTCAGCGCCAGCCTGGTCTGAGCCACTGTGGACTCCCACCTGCAGAATCTCCCTGCTGGTCTCCTTGCTTCTGCTGTTACCTTCTTATTACCCATTCAAGTAGCCAGGGTGATCCTTTAAAAATTTTTTTTAAATTTGTTTGAGATGAAGTCTCACTCTGTTGCCCAGGCTGGAGTGCAGTGGTGCTATCTCAGCTCGCTGCAGCTCTACCTCCTAGGCTCAAGCCATCCTCCTACCTCAGCCTCCTGGGTAACTGGGACCACAGACATACACCACCGCACCCGGCTAATTTTTGTATTTTTTGTAAAGTCACGGTCTTGCTATTTTGCACAGGCTAGTCTTGAACTTCTGTGTGCACCCACCTCAGCCTCCTGCATTTTTAGGAGGCCCCTCTTGTACAGATTTTGATGCAGAGGGCTGGGTGCCTCATGTCTCCTCCCATCTCCCTCTGTCTTTCTGTCTCTGTCTCTGTCTATCTCTCTCTCTTTCTCTTTGCCTTATAGCTGCCCTGGGGACTAGACTCTGCCTTAGGCATCCCTCTGACTCTTGTTTGCTTTTACACTGAGTCTCCTTTAAGTTGCACATTGATCTGAAGCCTTGGGCTTCTGTTCCTATTCCTCGCTTTTGTTGGAAGGGCCGTGCAGCTTCTTGACAAATTGCAAAGGTGCCCACGAGTTTCCAAGTCCCCAAGAACCAAACCAGATGACAAACAAAGATGCAGCCCACAGCTGGGGAGACAGATTTCATGTCCACACAGAGACTCCAAGATGCTGAACTGAAATCCACCCTGGAACCTGTTTTCTCTCTCATTTAAGTTCAATGTCACCTGGGGGATTGCAGGGCAGGGCTGGTTACCATTCACAGGGCAAAGATGCTTTGAAATGGCAACTGAGAATGGTGTGGTGGTTGACAGATGGCACGTCACAGCATAGATTAATATGGAAAGAGAAACTCACCCCTTGGGGGGAATGTGTGAGGCTGGCAGCCACACAGAGGGCTTTTCCTGCGAGCTCTTGCACAGATGCAAACAGCCAGGAGGTTTTGCTTTCTGAGCCTGAGTGGAAGCATTTTCCTCCCTGCACATTGCCACTCTGCAGCAAATGTTTATTCCTGTTGCATTGATTAAAAGTGCTTACCAGGCCGGGCGCGGTGGCTCACGCCTCTAATCCCAGCACTTTGGGAGGCCGAGGCAGGCAGATCACAAGGTCAGGAGATCGAGACCATCCTGGTTAACACGGTGAAACCCCGTCTCCACTAAAAATACAAAAAATTAGCCGGGCATGGTGGCGGGCGCCTGTATTCCCAGCTACTTGGGAGGCTGAGGCAGGAGAATGGCATGAACCCAGGAGGCAGGGCTTGCAGTGAGCCGAGATTGTGCCACTGCACTCCAGCCTGGATGACAGAGCAAGACTCCGTCTCAAAAAAACAAAGTACTTACTGAAGGGGTTTGAGGGCAGTGGTGACAGTGTGAGTTATGGCTTTGCCGGCTGCCAGTGGAGCCATCCGCTCTGCACAGCCGTGCAAGGGTGTTTTGAAAAGTGGCTCAGCCGGCCAGGAGTGACTGGGTGTAAATGTTGCTGCCACAACATCTTGTAGCCTGACTGGGGCCGTGTTTGCAGAACCCCTAAACCACTACACTTGTTCAGGCTTAAAAATAAGCTTAGGTTTTTTTGTTTGTTTTGTTTTGTTTTGTTTTATGAGATGGAGTCTTGTTCTACCAACGGGTTGGAATGCAGTGGCATGATCTCGGCCCTGTGCAACCTCTGCCTCCTGCGTTCAAGTGATTCTCCTGCCTCAGGCTCCCGAGTAGCTAGGACTACAGGGGTGTGCCATCATGGCCAGCTAATTTTTGAATTTTTAGTACAGACGGGGCTTCACCATGTTGGCCAGGATGGTGCGATCTCTTGACCTCGTGATCTGCCCGCCTTGGCTTCCCAAAGTGCTAGGATTACAGGCGTGAGCCACTGTGCCTGGTCAAACATAAACTTACTTTCTTACCTCTTCTGCTGAACTCTATTTGCTTCTTTTCTCAACTTCTGCTGAACTCTATTTTGCTTCTTTTTTTCTGGATAAAGCTCTTCTTTATCCAGAGGAGCTTTTAGCAACAAAGTTAACCAATGACCTTCCCTAGTCTCTCCTTGCAACTGGCTCTCAGCGGGGGGGTGGGGGGGTTAGGAGGAAATCCTTGACAGAACCAATTTACATGACTGTTTGGAGGACTCTCGCTAGCTCCAGGAGGTGTTTGCATTTTTAAATTGGTTACTAGTGTCAGAATGTTTCATGAGTAAGAGCACAGCCTCTAAGTTGGATACCCTGAATTTAAATCTCAACATAGCCATTTTGTATATAACCAGAGGATGGATTTGGGGACCCAATGGACCTACCATGACATGAACTTGCACCAACATTCACCTGACTTCCAAAATGTCTTTTCTGACTGGTAGACCCTAGTCTCGCCCTAGTGCCAGTTCAGAGCCTGTGTCCAGTGATCCTGCACAGGTCCCATTAGTTCCTTTTCTACTATTCAGTCATCCTGGTAAAAGGCTGTGTATTCCCTTGGGGGCAGGCTGGGAGAAAGATTGACAGTATTAATTTGTGGCATTGGAGCAGAGTCCTTTCTGGAGGGGACCTGGCTTCCCATTCAGACAAGGGACTCTGGGTCTGTGAACTGGCTTATGTCTGGGAATTGACTGGGGACTGTGACTCTGTTTTTATGATTCAGATTAGACTTCTGCTCACCTGACCTAGAATTCTTCTGCAAACACAGATCCAGTAAAAATGTGGCAGGCTTCTTATCTATTTCACTTCTAGGAATGCCATGATCAGCTGGCACCATATGTCTCTGCGAGTCAGGCTATTCTGGCTGCAGCTTTGACTCTGCTGTCTTTTATGGTAACTTCATCCACCTTGCCTTTGGGGATTGAGTGCTCTGATCACTTGGCCCCAGCCTCTGTAGTGTGCCTATGTCACTTACCCTCTTTATACCTCAGTTTCCTTCTCTATAAAATGGGCATCCTCATTGCACCTACCCCCAGGGCTGCTGTGAGGTATAGATGGATTAGCATATGGAAAGTAATAGAAGAGGGACTCAAAGCCCATGTGTTCTTATCAGAATTATTTCGTGACAGGGGAGAGCTGGAGGAGAGAGGAAGGTGCTGAGCAGACCCATGTGCTCCCCCACCAGTGATTCCTGAGCACCTACTATGTGCTGCCCACTGTGAGAGCTGTTAGGGTTGAAATAGGGAGCACAGCAGGGTAGGGGCTGCAATCAGGAGCTTAGTGGGGAGACCATTGTGCAACATGTTTCCAGAGCTTGGGGTGGGGAAGCTCAGGGAGTACAGGGACCTAGGATCCTGGGCAGAATCATGGAAAGGACACAGCCTCCCCAGCCTCTACTGCCTCCACTGCCTCCCTGGCCTCCTCTGCTTCCCTGGCCTCTCCTGCCTTCCTGGCTTCCCCTTCCACCCCGGCCCTCCCCAGTCTCCCCTGTCTCTCCTGCTTTTGAGGTGGGCCAGGAGATGCTGGTGTTCACTTAGCCTGTCCTGGACTCTGGGTGTAGCATTTCGATGTCCAGAAAATACCCCCGGCTTCAGCTCATCACACAACCAAGGAAGGAGCTCCACACTGACACTAAGGGTGCATCCTGGGCTCATTCATCAGGGCATGCCTCCAAAATATTTCTCCACGTCTCCTCCCTTTGCCCACCTGCATTGTCTCTGTGCCTCAGCCCTGGCTGGGGGCCTGCAAGGATCCCCTATCTCCTCTGCCCCTGCACAGCTGGGTCCCAGGCAATCTGTCCCCCCACCACACCTCTCTCACCTTGCCCACCATGCTCCAGCCCCACAGTCCTCTTTCTGCTTCTTTCCCAGCCTCTGGGCTTTTGCACACGCTGTTCCTTCTGCCTGAACACCCTCCACTGGGCTGAGAACAACTCTCTGAGACCTCTCTCAGCTGTTGTTTCCTTTGGAATAGCCGCTGCTGCTGGCCCTCTCCCAGCTCCAAGACCTGCTGAGCCTCCTGTCTTTTTTAGTTCCCATGCCCCCAGCACTTCTTCTTGGCCTCCTTTGGCCCAATTGACAATGTCCATTCTCAATGCCTTCTCACCCAGCACTGAGCCCCACTGGGTGAAGGCAACGCCTGTCATGTTCACCACAATATCCCCTCCCCCATCACCACGCCTGGTCCACAGAGATGCTCAAAAAAGATCTGTTGGTAGGCAATGCGAAGGTGCATTCATGTCATCCTGCAGGCGGAATTCTCCACGAGTTTTGAGCAGCCTCAGTTTTCCCACCACCTCCAAATCATGGAAGACGCAGGGTAAGAGCAAAGACAAGGTGGCTGTGGCCGATGTCCACCCTCTCGGGGCGTCCCTTCTCTTCTCTCCTCCTTGGGCAGGGAGACCATCGGGGTGCAACCTGGCTGGGGCGGGGAGGAGGTGCAGGGCCTGGCCAGAGCGGGCCTGGCCACAGGCAGGGGACAGCGACTGCTTGGGCCTGGGCAGGTGAGCGCAGCGCAGGCCAGGGCCCGGCGTGTCCGCGGTGAGCGCGGGCGGCCAGCAGAGGGCGCCAGAGAGCCAGGAGCGGCCCGCGGAGGAGTCCGCGCCCGCCCTGATGCCCAGCTCCGCGCCGCGCGGACCCACCGAGCCCGCGTTCAGACGCCCCAGCTCCGCCGACAGGCCGCTCGCGCCGGGTCCTTCCTCTTCCCCAGGTGCAGGCAGAGCCCCCAGAGCCATGGCCAGCCCTTCCGGCAGCTCCGAAGCCACTGGCAAGCCCCGAGGCAGGGATGGCGGGCCCAGGAGGGAGGAGGACGACGTCCCTCCCGAAGAGAAGAGGCTGCGGCTGTTGCTGGAGAGGGGAAGCGCGCAGCCCGAGGACTGCGAGGACGGGGAGGACGCGCCGCGGCCAGGCAGGAAGAAGACCGGCACCCAGACAGGTGGCGACGGCAGAGGAGTAAGTGACGTTGGCGCGGGGGTCCGGGGGTGCCAGGGGCGCGGGGTAGGGGCGGCGGGAGGCTCCGTGGCCGGCCCTGGGTTAAAGTTGGTAATTGAGCGGCAACTCCGGCGGGCGCGGAGTGACAGCTCGTGACGGCCTCCGAGACGCCAGCTGCCCCTTCTCGGCTGTGTGGCTTCGACTTCCTGATTCTCCCACGACGTCCCTGGCCGGGAGACCCGCTGGACTCTGCGGCTGGCCAAAAGGGGAGGGGGAGCCCCGCGTCCTGGGGGCCCCTAGCGGAAGGGGCGGGGGTTGCGCTGGGCATCCTGTCTGGGGCATCTGTCTGGGACTCTGTTGGTGCCTCTCACCTGGCGAGGGGCCTGTGGTGTGGGTAGGGGGGAAGTCCCTGCCATGCTTGGCCAAGCCCTGCTCTGCTGGGCTGCGGGCTGGCGGCGCTCACCCAGCTCCTCACCTGTCCCTCATCTTCCTGTTTTTCTTCCCTTTCTGGTTGGGCAGCGAGAGTTGAGAGAAGGCAGATGGCTTCCATCCCAGAAATCGCTCTCCTCTTTCCATCCCTACAGAGAGGGACAGGGAGGCAAAGTTCCTTCCATCCCCCGGGGCGCTGTCCCTGTGAGCTCCCGGTGTCCTGCACACGTGGGCCCCTGAGTCACTGGGTCTGTGTGTGTGGGATGGGGCTCCGTGGCCAGCCTGTCCTCCTGGGGTTCACTTTCTGCTTTCCTACGCCAACTCTTCCTGTGTGGCTTTGCTGGCCTTCCACTGAGGAGGCACATGGGTTTGGAGGGCAGATGAGGTCCCACTGGAGAGCTGTAACCCTCAGTGAGGGCCGCCACCTTGACGGTTTTTGATGGATAATGGGGTTGACTTCTTTGTTCCTTCCACATGTTTTTATGTTTGACCATTTGCTCAGCTGAACTTGTCTTAATAATTGGATTCGTGGTGAATGAGCCCCACATGGGCGAGAGGGTGGCCTTCATTCTGAACCCATTTAGGCAGCACGGGCGGCCCTCCTCGCCGTGGGCGGCATCAGAGCCCCCCCCTGCACAGTCTTGGGGTTGCTCCCGGATGCTGTCTGGGAGGCTTGCTCATGGTGACATCCTCATCTCTCCGTGCACGTTACCGCATTCAGAGCTTGGGTCACCTGGACACTGAACTCAGATGAATTCTCTCTGAGATCCTGGGAGAAGGAGGATAGTTCTGTGGAAGGTTTTCCAGGGCCGATCACGGAAAGGATGAGAGGGGAGAGGTCCTGGTCGGGACACAATTACGGTGGCAGTGTAACGCCGGGACACTTTATTGCATGAAGTCCCTCTCACTCCCTCTACCTCCCTCTTTTACGTGGACTCTGCCAAAGACCAGGATACCAGAATGCAGTGGAGTGACCAAGTGTAGTGGGACCTTGGGAACCCGAGTCTGGAGCCAGGCGGCTGGGGTTTGCATCCTGGTTCTGCCCCTCCTTAGCTGGCTGACATGGCACAAGCCACTTACCCTCTCTGAGCCTTACTGTCTTCAGTGGCAAATGGATCTGTCAACAGGCCCCATTGCCTGGGGTTGTTACTGCTGAGATTAAGGGAAGCTCGTCCATAGAAGCACTTAGCCTTGTGCCTGGCACATAGTGTATGGTGGATAAATGGGACTTAGGACTAAAACTCATGCCTTGGTGTGTTTTTGCAGTGATGTTTTGTTCTGGGGTGCATCAAAAGAGACAAGGTTCTTGGTTGGGCATGATGGCTCAAGCCAATAATCCCAGCACTTTGAGAGGCTGAAAAGGGAGGATCACTTGTGCCAAGGAATTTAAGACCAGCTGGGCAACATGGTGAAGCCTCATATCTACCTAAAAAAAAAAAAAAAAAAAAAAAAGCCAGTTATAGTGGTGTGTGCCTGTAGTCCCAAGTACTTTGGAGGCTGAGGTGGGAGGATTGCTACAGCCTGGAAGGTCAGGCTGCAGTGAGCTGGGATCTTGCCACTGCACTCCAGCGTAGGTCACAAAGTGAGACTGTTTCAAGGAAAAGAGAGAGAGACAGACAGACAGACCCACAAGAGTCTTAAGCCAGAATCTCCATGTTAAAATGCTTTCTGGAGGCTAAAAGGATGATATGTTGATAATGAAATATTTAAAAGGCAGAAACCCCACTGAATTGTTTGGTCCACAGAGGGAAATGGGAATCGCATGACCTGAGGCATGATGGAGGAACTGAACAGAAACCATCCTTGTTTCCTTAATCTGAACATGGCACGCTCTTTTCACGGTGCCTGTATCTGCTCAGTCTGGCGGCCCCTCGAAAAGAGGGAATCTGGATTTTCAAACTTAAAATTTGGCCCAAAGCCCACTGCTGCCCGCAATGGCCGCCAGACACATTCCTCTTCCCTTTTAGTTTCTATGGGAATACTCTCTTTGAAGAACCCATGAAGCAGTGTCAGGCTGGTGTGAGGACCAGCAGTGATTTCTTTGAGGAGGAGAGCCCGTTTCTTCACTCACAGGCCATGTCTGAGTGGATCAAGAAGAACAGAGTGCCCTTTTATGAGATTTTGTCTGCGTAGACCATTAGCTTGGTAAAAATGTCAAAACCATCCTCGTTCTTTAATAGCAGATTATTTTGGACTTTTCTCTGCAAGAAGCAGCATAGGCATTCAGATGCTTTTAAGGATAAAATGTTCTTTCTCATCACCAGGCCTGGTGCTCTGGATGGCTGAGGTTTTACTGTGACTTGGTGTCCCTTGGAGTGGCTCCCAGGCTGTGCTCTTGTGGTTGGGTGGCAAGGGGTTGCTTTATTCGGTGGTGGCTAGAGGACGTTTTAGCAGATAAATCGGGACCCCAGGAGCCCCTGAGTGCCAAGTCCTGCTGCAGGGCATGTGTTTATGTTGGGGATGTGGGGGGGTGGAGGGTGGGGGACATTGATTTCCTGCCAATATCAGAAGTTTCACAGGCTTCTTGTGTATCCACAAACACCCATCCCATTGAGAAGGCCTAGAAAACCTGGCCCTCGCCAAGTCTTTATTGACCGCTTGTGAATGATCCCAGGGTGTGTCTGACCCACAGCTCCTCCTGGAGGGAGAGAAAAGTCTCTCCTAGGTATTTGGTTATCAACCTCAACCACTTGCTGAGCCTTCCCCAAGACCAGGCATCTTGGCAGAGATTTCTGGGTCGTCAGGCAGAACCGAGCATTCAAGGGTGATAACTCACTGGAGTCCCTGAAATCCCTGATGGACGCACCAGGTAAAAGCATCCAGGGTTGAAACCAGATCAGGAAGGTTATTGTCAGCCTGGGGCGCCTGTAGAGGTGCATCCACGTTGCAGGTATTTTCCCTTCTTGCTGAGGAGAAACCTGGGTTTCTCAGCTTTGGCACAGTCACAACACTTGGGGTCAGACCATTCGTGGTGGTGGTGGGAGGGGCGTCCTGTGTATTGTAGGATGGTTAGCAGCATCTCTGGTCTCCATCCTCTAGGTGCCATCCTACCCTCCCAGCTATGGCTACCCCAGATGTCTCCAGATGCTTTCAAATGCTGTGGGACAAGGGAGTGGTACATGAGCAAAACCACCCCAGTTGAGAGCCATTGGTCTACACTTGTGGAAATGTTTGAGGGTGAGAGTGTCGAGCTCGGGTCCCTGCTGTACCCTTTATGAGCAATGCGATCTTGGAAAATTAATACGACTCCAGGGGCCTTAGTTTTCTCATCTATAAAATGGAGATAAATGAGATACACTTTCATAGGAAGGTTATATGGGATTTACTGAGATAATAAGACAGTACATGGCCGGGCGCGGTGGCTCACGCCTGTAATCCCAGCACTTTGGGAGGCCGAGGCGGGCGGATCACGAGGTCAGGAGATCGAGACCATCCCGGCTAAAACGGTGAAACCCCGTCTCTACTAAAAATACAAAAAATTAGCCGGGCGTAGTGGCGGGCGCCTGTAGTCCCAGCTACTTGGGAGGCTGAGGCAGGAGAATGGCGTGAACCCGGGAGGCGGAGCTTGCAGTGAGCCGAGATCCCGCCACTGCACTCCAGCCTGGGCGACAGAGCGAGACTCCGTCTCAAAAAAAAAAAAAAAAAAGACAGTACATGAAAAATGCTGGGCATAGCATTTATTTATTTTTATGTTTTTTAAAGACCTAATCTTACTCTGTTGCCCAGGCTGGGGTGCAGTGGCATGATCTCCGCTCACTGCAACCTCCACCTCCTGGGCTCAAGTGATTCTCCTGCCTCAGCCTCCCGAGTAGGTGGGATTACAGGTGCCCACCAACACACCTGGCTAATTTTTGTATTTTTAGTAGAGATGGGGTTTCACCATGTTGGCCAGGCTGGTCTCGAACTCCTGACCTAAGGTGATCCTCCTGCCCCGGCCTCCCAAGGTGCTGAGATCACAGGTGTGAGCCACCACGCTGGGCTGGGCATAGCATTGTAACACAGACAAAGCACAAAATACTTGGGCAATATCTTTTTACATTTGGCTTGTCTAGACTCCATCCTCCATCCCCTCATGCACTGGTGTGGTGCAGACCAGAATATCACCCACCTAGACTGCAGAATGGATTTGGGTGGCATCTTGGCTTTCTGCACAAGACTTGCCTGTTCCCCACCACATCCCCCTGGTTCTCAGGGTCCAGGATTCCAGGAGGCAGGGATGTGGGCAGGCAGGGTAGGTGGCCCACCCAGTTCACTCCCACGCTGGGGACCTGCAGAGCTGGCTGTCCGAGACAGGTTGTTTGGACCAACATCTGGGTTTCTGGATTTCCATTTGAGCACAGCTGGACTACACAGGCTGAAGCTCTCTCTGCCGAGATATAGATATTTCCCTGGTGATGATCTTTCAAGCTGACATGAAGACATGGCCACCCACTGGAACGTCGTGTGTCTGCCGTGGCGCTCTTGTAATTTGTGAGGGAGGCTCCTGACGAATGCAGTGCGTAAGTGGGAAATGGTGGGAAGTTCTCGCATCCCCCCGCTTGGCCGAAAGTGCTGCCTGCGCAGATTTGTGGATGGTCCTTTGAGCAGGAAGAAGACACGGAACACATTCCTGTTAGCTATGACAGAGAGGGGCAGGGTACACACTGGAGATTTCAAGCCCCTCCAGAGAAGCAAGTCTTACTATGCTAGGAGTACTTGTGGAGTGGGGGCTGTGTTGCCCTGGGCTTTAATTATTTCAGGAACATTTAACCGCAGGGTTGGCAGGCTGGATCTTGATATGTGTTTCTCAGTTGGAAAGACTTTGGACCATAGGGAAATGTCTTCTCAATTCTTTTAATTTCATTAAGGTTGTCATTTTTCTTCTTGTGGCCTCTGGAATGTGACACAGAACTCAAGGGACAGGAAGGAGATGAGTTGGCGGCTGGGACAGGGGTCCCTGCCAGGGATGCTGGTGACTCACATGACGGTGTTGATGTGTGGAGTCCGGTGCCTGGTTTGGGGAATATTCGTGGGATATGTTCCAAAGGACTGATGGACCTATCAGGTACTGGAGGTGAATGGTCAAGTCTGACCTCAGGGCTGACAGTGTCAGGCAAGGACAGGAAGTTGACGTTGGACTCATTGGCTGAGGTTGCTTGGGACCCAGGGGGCAACGTGTGCCAGGACAGATGGGTCTGGGGCTAGGAAGGCAGGTTTGGGCTGGAGACTTGGGCTGGGGATGCATCCCAGGTAGGCAGTGGTTGAGGCTGTGGAAATGACCACGATTGCCTGGAATGAGAGTGGAGACAGACAAGATGGGTGTTTTGCTCTAAGCCTGGGGAACCCACCTCCCAGGTTCAAAGGATTCTCCTCCCTCAACCTCCCAAGTAGCTGGGAATGCAGGTGTGCACCACCATGCCCGACTAACTGTTGTATTTTTAGTGGAGATGAGGTTTGGCCAGGCTGCTTTCAAATTCCTGACCTCAAGTGATCGGCCCACCTTGGCCTCTCAAAGTGCTGGGATTATAGGCATGAGCCACCATGCCTGACCATTTTTAAATATTAATTTTTATGAAATATTTTCAAACATTTTACTGTACATTGGAAAAGTCAATCATGATTTGAAAACTTTATCAAAATCCAATCAAATGTCAATTAACCATTTAATTGTGGATGAGTAAGGAGACTATTTTGACCAAAACATGTTAGAACAATTACCACTTATAGAAATAATCTATGTTTTAATGTTTTAGTTGAATTAAACAATCTTTTATATTCTGTCCAGGCGCAGTGGTTCACACCTGTAATCCCAGCACTTTGGCAGGTCGAGGCTGGCGGATCACCTAAGGTCAGGAGTTCGAGACCAGCCTGGCCAACATGGCGGAACTGTCTCTACTAAAAATACAGAAATTAGCCAGGTGTGATGGCACACACCTGTAATCCCAGCTGCTTGGGAGGCTGAGGCAGGAGAATCATTTGAACCCGGGAGACAGAGCTTGCAGTCAGCCGAGATCGCACCACTGCACGTCAGCCAGCCTGGGTGACAGAGCGAGACTTTCAAAAATAAATAAATAAATAAAATAGAATTCTGAATTTTATTTTTAATAATTATTTTATAAAAAGAATGTCTTGTTTTTTGGAGTTGTTGAATTTATTGAATTGACAAAAATTATGTACAAGAGGGTACAACATGATGTGATTCAAGTATGTATACATTACAAAATGGCTAAATCAAGCTAAATAACATATCACCTCCCAGACTTATTTTTTTATGGTGAGAACACTTAAAAAATCTACTCTCTTAGTGATTTCCAAGTGTATGATATGTTGTTATTAACTGTAGGTACCATGTTGTCCCATAGATATCCTGAACTTATTCTTCCTCTCTAAAAATGACATTCTCTGTCCTTTGGCATCTGCCCACTTCCCCACCCTGGCAACCATCGTTCTACTCTGCTTCTGTGAATTCAACTTTTTTCTTTTCTTTTTCTTTCTTTTTTTTTTTTTTTGAGACAATCTCACTCTATTGCCCAGGCTGTAGTACAGGGGTGTGATCTTGGCTCACTGCAGCCTTGACCTCCCAAGCTCAATCAATCCTCCCACCTCGGCCTCCTGAGTATCTGGGAGTACAGGCATGCACCACCACGATCCACTAATTTTTGTATTTTTTTGTAGAGATGGGGTCTTGCTATGTTATGCAGGCTGGTCTCGAACTCCTGGGCTCAAGCAATCTGCCGGCCTCAGCCTCCCAAAGTGCTGGGATTACAGGCATGAGCCACCATGCCTGGCCGAGTTCAACTTTTTTAGATTTCACATATAAGTGAGATCATGTGGTATTTGTCGTTTTGTGCCTGGCTTATTTCACTTAACATAATATCCTCCAGGCTCATCCATGTTTTCTCAAATGGCAGGATTTCCTTCGTTTTGAAGGTTGAATAGTATTCCATTGTGTACGTACACTACATTGTTGCTGGAAGTGTAATGGAGGCCAATTGGGGGAGGAGGGGGAAAAGATTCACTCTAAGTCTAGATGCTCCAGCACCCACCCAGGATGTGTGCAAGGAAGTGTAGGATGCTCCTGGTCTTGCAAACTGTGGTTTGTGGGACTCCAAAGCCCCTATCCTTCCACAGTGCTTTCTGTCCTCTTATCACATTTCCTTGGAGGAGAATCCAGCCTTGGTGGAGAGCCCTGCTCTGGCTTTGTCCCTCAGCATGAGATGGCAAAGGATGGTGCTGCTGGGAGACCCTCATGTCTGCACACTGGGGGCTGCTTGCCTTCTCCATTCCTCCTTCAAGTATCTGAGCAGCTCCTGTGTGCCAGCTGCTGGTCTACAAGATGGATCGGTCCTTGGAGATCACGCTGTAGCAGAGGAGGCAGGCTGTAGCCCACAGGCCACAACCAGCCCCCTGCCTGTTCACACATATAAAGTTTTATTGGAACACAGCCACACCCATTTCAGTGCATATTGTCTGTGGCTGCTTTCCTGCTACAATGGAGAGTTGAGTAGTTGGGACAGAGACCTATGGCCTGCAAAGCTGAACTATTTACCATCTGGCTCTCAAGAAAAGGGAAAAAAAAATGCTTATCTTTGTACCGCGACAGTCTTAGATTAAGAGGACTTTGTACCACCCTGACGTCCCAGGCGGCCGTGAGTCCAGCCACCCCTGAAATGTACACAAGTCTGGGCTAGGGTTGCAGCAGGTGAGTCCCAATTTTGCAGGTCTTTGGTATCAGGGGCACAACCCAGGATTTTGAGTGGGGTTTCCTCACCACTGTGGCTGGGCACTGGGCTAGTGTGCTTTCTGATTTTTGTATGGGGAAGAGAAAGGAGGGAGGAAATGGCAACTTGTTGCCCTGTTCTAACATTTTCCTAAGATGGGTCTCCAGGTAAGGGCTTGGGATCTCACCTTGCACAGCTTACAAAACCCAGTGAGGCCAGCTGTCTTGGCGCTGCCACTCTGAGGGATGGAGCCCCCAAATTACTAGGAAGGGAGATAAAAGAATGGTGTCTGCAAGCACAAGAAGTGGCGTTATTGAAATTAACGTTTCCCCCAAGTTTTATAATGTCTAGGCATGCATATTTAAGTGTCTGTCTCAAAGGCTCTTGCCAATAACCAGATGGTGCATTTAATTTCCTTTTTTTTTGTTCTCTGAGCAACATGCAGCTTCCTGCACAGCCCTCCTTGCAGGCAACTGCACTGAGGTGACAGTCCTCCTGACTGCCAGCACAGATCCCCAGGGCCCCTGAGAGCCCTGTATTCTGGGGGCAGCCTTTCCCCCTTCTATTTGGCCCCAGCTGGAAGGGGGCAGGTTACCCACAGGGCTCCTGCCTTAGCTTAGCTTAGCTCCTGCCTAAGCACAGGGCTCCTGCCTTAGCTTCTCTAGGGAGTCTGGCTCCCTCTGACCCTCTAGACCTCACCAGCTGAGGATCAGAGCCCCGGGGCAGGAGCCAGGGCCAGGGGGCATTGGGGGGTGGTTTGAGAGTGCAGCTCTGGAGGGGGGCAGGGCGAGCCCAGGAAAAGCTGCTCAGGGGAGACTGCAAAGAGATGGCAGAGTTAGGACAAGAGGGCCAGGCATGGTGGCTCACACTTGTAATCCCAGCACTTTGAGAGGCCCAGGTGGGCGGATCGCCTGAGGCCAGGAGTTTGAGACTAGCCTGGCCAACATGGCGAAAACCTGTCTCTACTAAAAATACAATAATTAGCTGGACATGGTGACACCTATAATACCAGCTACTCGGGAAGCTGAGACATGAGAATTGCTTGAACCCAGAAGGTGGAGGTTGCAGTGAGCTGAGATTGTGCCACTGTACTCTAGCCTGGGCAACAGAGCAAGATTCCATCTCAAAAAAGTCAGGACAAGAGGAGGAGGGAAGAGAAGGGAGCTTTGGGGCAGCAGCCAGGACCTTAAAGGCACAGAAGAGGAAGCTTGGATTTCCAATTCCAAAGGACATGAAGTCACACACCTTTATTTAACCTGCTCCAGGTGAGGCTGGGCTTTGTGTATTTTCCTTGTTTTCCTTTTCCTTGTGTTCAGGCTGTTGTAGAAACAGGTACACAGGGGCTCTGTGTGGCGCCCTGTTCTGGTGGCCTTCAGGAAGCATGGGGTGCCCTGGTTTCCTTGGCTTCGTGTCCACCTTTCCTCCTGCCACCCCTGACTGTGCCCCCCACCTTATCCCTCAGACCATCCTCCTGGAGGGGACTGGCCAGGGCTTGTGTCCTTGCTAGTCTCTAGGAAGGAAGACTCTGGCTTGAAAGCTTGTCGGCTTAAGTTGCAAGGTGTAGGTGCCTGGGAAGTCATGGGCACAGCCCTCTTGACTGATCCATTCATGTTTTTCTTTTCGACTCTGTTCTAAGTTGTCCTGATGGAGGGGTAAGCCCCTGCCTTCTGCCTTTCCTGCCTTGGACTCTTGCAATTGGACCAGATGAGAGGGTCCATGTGGTCTGAGAATTCAAGCAATGCAGGCCAGGCATGGTGGCTCACACCTGTAATCCCAGCACTTTTGGAGACCAAGGCGTGTGGGCCAGGAGTTCGAGACCAGCTTGGCCAAAATAGTGAAAACCTGTCTCTACAAAAAATACAAAAGTTAGCCGGGCTTGGTGGTGCACACCTGTAATCCTAGTTATTTGGGAGGCTGAGGCAAGAGAATCACTGGAACCCAGAAGCAGCAGGTTGCAGTGAGGAGCAGGTTGCAGTGAGGAGCAGGTTGCAGTGAGGAGGAGGTTGCAGTGAGCCGAGATTGTGTCCCTGGACTCCAGACTGGGCAATAGAGCGAGACTATGTTTAAAAAAAAAAATTTATATAAAAAGAAAAAACAAAACATCCTCTTGATTTGCTTTTCTTGATCTTGCTTCTCAGAGGTAACACTGGCAAGGGTTGGGGTATACCTCTCCACACCTTTTTCTTTGATTTCTTTTTATTTTTTATTCTACATTCTGAGATACATGTGCTGAATGTGCAGGTTTGTTACATAGATATACATGTGCCATGGTGGTTTACTGCACCTATCAACCCGTCATCTAGGTTTTAAGCCCCGCATGCATTAGGTATTTGTCCTAACACTCTTCCACCCCTTGTCCCTCACCCCCGACAGGCCCCGGTGTGTGATGTTCCCCTCCCTGTGTCCATGTGTTCTCATTTTTCAACTCCCACTTATGAGTGAGAACCCGCAGAGTTTGGTTTTCTGTTCCTGTCCACACCTTTTTCCTCTGTGCACTCAAGCACATGTATTTGCACGTAAGTGTTTATTGTAACCTTTTTTAAAAAGTAAAAATGGAATAATGCTACATTTATTCTTTGGAAAGCTTGCTTTTCAGGCAGCATGTCTTTGACATTGTCTCACGTTGGAACCTGGGTACTACCTTCTTCTCCCAGCAGGTATTCTGATGTGTGGATGCACCATGCTTCGTTTAACCAGCCCTGCACCTATATGTCTTTGGATGGTTTCCGCCTTTTCCCAATCACAGACGGTGTTCTGATGAATTTCCTTACACACACCACTTGGTGCTCTGTGCCTGCATTTCTGTGAGATGTTCCTGGAGGTGGGCTGTCTAGGTCAGAGGCGGATCTGTGCTTAATTTGCATCCTGTGCAAAATTCCATCCAGTCATCCGGCTCCCCAAGGGCTCACATGGTACTGTCCTCTGTAGACATCATCTTCTGCAGATGATGGCATGACCGCCTCTCTTTCTTTTACTCACACCAGTCTGCACCCTGGTGTCCTGGGGGGTCCAGCCCCTACCTGCTTGTCTGCCCACACCCCACCGTCCCCCCAGCCCCTGCTAACAGGGACTCTGGCTTCTGAGCTCTGGCAGACTGCCTCACTCTGGAGAAGTCTGCTTTCTCAAACATTCCTGGCAATGTTACTGCAAATCTCGAGGCCTGCATTTGTCTTTTTCAGGCCTCAGTTTCCTCAAAAGTAAAATGGGGATAATGTGATGCTACTGTCTGCATCCTAGAGCTGCCATGAGGGTTCAGTGAGATCACTGTTGAGAGCAAGTTCACAGCGCCGGCCTTGTGCGCAGTCAGCACCTGTGGGGCAGGGCTGTTGCTGATACGTGGTTGACTGTCATTGGTAGACTGTGGCTTTACCAGGGGCATTGTCTTTAGTGCCGAGCCCAGAGCCACCCCTAGTACCTGCCGTGTTTATAGAGTGATTGAGTGTCAGGGTCAGAGACTGGGGCAATGGCAGCAGAAACAGAGGAAAGAAGTGGGGCTTCTAATAGGTCCTGAGACAGTGGCCCTTGAGATGAAGACTTCTTGCCAAGGTCTGGGGCTGTGCTGTGTGTTCTAGGCCCGAGACTGGAAGCTAGGCCTGGCTGCAGCCCCCGCTGAGCTGGGGAAGTGCAGGTCAGCATCCTGCTTCATTAGGACACCTCCAAGCCCAGCTTAGATGTGGATGCCAGCTGACCCCCTCTTTGCTCTGAACCCAGACAGAGGACAGGGAAGTGTGCAAGGGTGGGGACCCCCTCGTCACAGCCCTTGACTCTGTAAGGCATATGGGTTTGTGCACGTGTGTGATCACAGCCATGGCTTCTCTGTGAGTTTCAAGCTCGGGGTTGTGTTTATGCAGGGTTAGGCTTGCCAGGTAAAATACAGGAAGTCCAATTAAACCTGAATTTCTCATTAACCACTTTTTTTTTTTGGTGCAAATATATCCCATGAAATATTTGGGACCTGCTTACCCTAAAAATGATTTGTTGTTTGTCTGAAATTCAAGTTAAACTGGCATCCTGTCTTTTCACTTGCTACATATGAGAGTTCCGTGTGGGGGTTATCAGTGTGCATTTGTGAGTTCCCATGTGAAGGACTCTCTCCAAGTGTCTGTAGGTGCCAAGATGGAGATGGACAGAAAAGATCCCCTTGGGCCCCTTTAGTGGCACCTAGAGGCTGTGGGGTTGGGCACTTCAGCCCCAGGGGTCTAGACAGCACTGTCCAGCACCTGTGTGCTCCTGTCTTCTTCATGGGGGCTGACTTCCCTGCCATCTCTCTCCAAATACAGTGGCAAGAGCTATCCCATCCGCCCCCATTTGGAGCTCGGCTGCCCAGCCAGACAAGATGGCAAACAGTGTGCAGATGGCTGCAAAGCTTTCCCCAGCTCCTTCTGCAAGGGGCCTGCAGATGAAATGGAAGCCCTCATCCTCACCACCTCCCCCTTCCAGAAAACCCAGTCAACAGCCACTTCTGAATGCTGCTTTAGAAGCTTCACCCTCCTGGTGATTAAACCACCCCAAACAAATAAAGCACTGCATTTCCACCATGGGCTTGTTCACATGCACGCAGCCAATTGTCTTGGATCCATCTGTGTGCCTGATTCATCAGGGTGAGGGGTTCTCCTCTGAGGTGCTTGCAAAGAGCTGCTTGCAAAGAGTTGCTTAATTTTCATCTGAAAGACTCTCTGTAGAAACCAGGCCCAGCTTTGGAAGAAAGCCTTTTCTCCCCCTTTAGCAAACTCTGTGTCATTATTTTTTCTTTCTTTCTTTTTTGAGACGGAGTTTCACTTTTGTTGCCCAGGCTGGAGTGCAATGGTGCAATCTCGGTTCACTGCAGTCTCTGCCTCCCAGGTTCAAGCGATTCTCCTGCCTCAGCCTCCTGAGTAGCTGGGACTACAGGCACCCACAACCATACCCGGCTAATTTTTTTTTTGTATTTTTAGTAGAGAGGGAGTTTCACCATGTTGGCCAGGCTGGTCTCGAACTCCTGACCTCAGGTGATCCACCTCGGCCTACCAAAGTGCTGGGATTACAGGCATGAGCCACCATGCCTGGCTGGAATTCTGTGTCATTCTGGATACTTATCATGACTTCAAGCATCTAGGACTCTGTCCTGGGTATCCTGAGCAGTCCTGTATGAGGTCGGTGCTGTGATTATCCACATGTTCACTTGTTCTCTCTGGCCATTTTCAGGCTCTTGCACTTCCTTTGCTCTTTTCCTGCCGCAGGGCCTTTGCACATCCTGCTCTTTCTGCCTGGAAAGATTTTCCCTCTCCCTGCCTCTTCACCTGGTCACGGTCTCATCTGACAGTGGAGTCACTACATCCTCAGGGACGTCTGGCCACACTGACTCAGTCACAGCAACCCCCTGTTATCTGCTTTCATGACACCAGGTGCCTCTCTGTGGTAGACACTAGCTCAGCTACGGCTTCCTGTTTCTGTGCGTGTCATCCTTCCCCTTCAAGACTGTGGTCACCGTGAGGGCCAGGGCCATGCCTGTTCCTGATTCTCATTTGTGTCTCTGGTGTTTAGTATATGCTTACCTAGAATTTGATTAATGAATGACGGCATACCCATTTTACAGATGAGAAAGTTGAGGCTCAAGAACATTGTGTAACTTGCTCGGTATTAGATAGTGATGGTTTGAAGCGATCTGGCTGGTCGCTGGGTGCACACTCTTAACCACTTCACTATGGTTCTTCTCTCATGGTAGCTCTCCAACAGCAGGAGTGAGAGACAACTTTAGGACAGGTGTAACCAGAATCCCAGGGGTTATCCTAGAAGGTGGTGTCAGGAACATGCTTGCCTATGGGCCTTCTTACTGTATTGCATAAAATACTCAGTTTTTCTGACTCACCTTTAGTAAAGACCTTAGCAATATTTGAAGCACAGTTGTCTGTAGGAAAGGGTGGGTGTTTATATTTTTTTAAAAAGGAGTCTATATCATATTTACCTTGTGGTCTGCCATGCCCCCCGCTCTTCTTCAGCTTCAGTTATGCAAAATTCACACTTCTCCTCTTGTCTGCCTCTCTCTTACCTGTTCAGTTTCTTTTCTGTGTTTGAGATTGCTTAGAATTTTTCCCCATTACTACAGCCTGCTTCCCACCTGTATCCCCCAGCCAGCTTGTTCTGGATTTTGTCAACAACAGTTCCAGCGTTTAGTGAGGGCTGGACTGAAGGAAAGCCTTGGAAAAGGCTGTGTGATGAAAGGTGAAGATACCTAATGAGCAGGCAGACATCAGGGTTAATTCAAAGGCTGGAAGAAGGGCTGACCTGGGGGACTGGAAATGTCTTTGAGCTGAAGGTCATGTGCAGGTGGAACGAAGAGGGTGAGCCTTTTGGGGTGAACTGCAAGAATTTGATAAGATCCCTGTCTCCATGGTTGGGGAAGTCTTGATAAGCATCCTCAATGTGATGGAAGGATCAAGGAACCCGTGGCTCTACCTGTCCAGCATGGCAGCAACATGACACAGCCAAGTTATTGATTATTGGTTGCCCAGCTGTCATCACTCAACATCTTCTGTTAGTTATAGCTGTAATTTGCACTAGTTGTCAATGCCAGTTTTGACTTTCCTAGTCAATAAAGTGTTCTGAGAGTGGTGACTAAGGCTGAGCACTACCCATAATCATGAGTATTACAGAGGCAAGCCCCCTTGCCCACCCACCTGCAGGTGATGACACACCCTAGGAAATCATTCAATTCTTTGGAGGACCCTGAATAAATGCTCAAGTCCATCTGTTCATCTGTCCATCCATCCATCCACCATTCCATCCATCCATCCATCCAGACATGCATACATCCATCCACCCACCTTACCATCTATCCACCCACCACCCACCCATCTATCCATCCAACCCACTCTTTTATGCACCCAGCTATCATCCACCTACCCACCCACCAACCCATCTATCCATCCACTCACCCATGCATCTATCTACCCATTCACTCATCTACCCATCTATCCACCCACCTGTGCATCCATTTATCTATCCCTCCACCCCCTCACCCACTCATCCATTTCTCCACCCACTCAGCCATCCCTTCACCGACTCAACCATCCATTCATTCATCCACCTGCCCGCCCACCCATCTTTCCATCCACCCATCTATCCACCCACCCACCTATGTATCCATCCATCTGCTTGTCCTTCTGTTCATTTATTCCACAAAGACTCGTTAACCACCTGCTAGATTCTGGGGAGGTACCTGCTCTAGTAATTGAGAGCACGGTCTCTAGAATATGATTCCCTGGGCTCAAACTGAGCTGCCTCCTAGCTAGCTGCTTGGGTAAGTTATAGAAACTGTGCTTTGATTTTCTTATCTGAAAATTGGCTATTAATAGCTTCTACTCTTGCAGATATAGTGAGGATTAAATAAGATGTCACGTTAAAAGTGCATCATCGACACTCAATAGAGATTAGGTTTTACCATCCATTATTATTCTTGGCAGATGCTGCAGATAACGTGGAGAGCATACGAAAGACACATGTTTGAACCAATAGTGACATACAGGTGCTAAGTTCTGCAGTAGGGGAAGGGCAGAGAGCAATGGAGAGGGCCTGGCCCAATCCTGGAGCCTCAGAAAAAAGTTCCTCGTTGAATTGCTGTTTTAGCTGAGACTTGTGGGATGGGTAGTAGTTGGAGATCCCAGACAGGATGTGACCGAGTTAGCCAGGGAAAAATTTGGTCCTGGCACCCATGGCAGAGTTGAGTGATCCAATCCTTCTTTCTCCTCTGGCTGGAAGTCCACCAGATCTGGGAATGTCAAGTTGGGGGAGGGGGCTGACAATGATCATGACCTTCACCTGTCCTCACATGTCCTCTGTGTATCTGCAAAGCCTCTGCCTCAGTCTCCTCTTCTGGAAAGTGGGATTGGAAACCACGTCTGCTTCTCTCCCAGGACTGCTAGGAAGACAAGATTAGATGGCAGGTGAGAGCTCTTTGAAAATGAAAACATTCTGCTATTTGAATGCAAAGTGTTCTTCTTTGCCTGTGATGTTTCCTAAGCTATGAACTCATGCTGGACCTCGAAGCTGTCTATTAAAAAAAAATAGCAAAGTGGTTGGGCATGGTGGCTCATGCCTGTAGTCCTAGCACTTTGAGAGGCTGAGGGGGGCGGATCATTTGAGGCCAGGAGTTCAATACCAGCCTGGCCAATATGTGAAATTCCATCTCTACTAAAAATACAAATACTAGCCAGGTGTGGTGTCATCTACCTGTAGTCCCAGCAGCTCAGGAGGCTGAGGCACAAGAATCATTTGAGCTCAGGAGGCAGAGGTTGCAGTGAGCTGAGATGGCGCCACTGCACTCCAGCCTGGGTGACAGAGCGAGGCTCTGTCTGAAAACAGAAAAAAAAAAAAAAAAGCGAAGTTAACACTTCCTCCATCTCTCCCGTAGGGGAGGCAATTTGTCAAAGATTGTTGTTGGATTTTACACACAGGGAAATCTAAGGAAGGTGTGGAAACCAGACCAGGACTCCAGACTCTGGTCTCCCTGTTTACAGGGTCTTAAATGGCGGAGCCACTTTGGGTTCTATCCACAAGATTGCTTTGTAAAAAAACCAAGAAACAAACAAACAAAAAACTCAAAAAAACAGCCCTGACCTAAATATTCACAAGGTACCTTAGGCAATATCTGCAAACAAAAGTGAATGATGAGTGGAATCTCTCATCTTTACAACTAAGACAGCTCCAGAGTTGAAGCAAGTGGAAATATCTCTAGACAGAGATTTGGGCAGGTTTTGCCAGTTACAAACTATGAGAACCTGGGCAGGTTTACCTCTCTGAGCTTCTGTGACCTTGTAAAATAGGCTGCATTGCACTAAACGTGCAGGAGGAATCCCAGGATCCTCCTGTGCACAGGGCTGGTTTCTTCCCATCCTTTTCTTTGTTCTGCCTCTCTCCTCCTCTCCAAGAGATGAATACATCTGGACCCAGTAGGGGCCTATGTTTGCAAAAGCTCGCAGGTGATTCTCATGCAGCCAGCCTGGCTCTGGCACTGAGTTCTTGGACACTTCTGGAGGCACATTTACTAGTGAGGAAGGTCACTGTGTGTGAAAGGCATGATTCATCTTCCATTCCTTTCTTCCATGAAGCAAGGTGCATGGGTCGACTGAGCTGGGAGAGTCCACAGTGTCAGCCTCCCCCACGCTTCCCTCCCTCCTTATTCCTTGTGTGCTGTACTTTGTCTTGATTTCCTGTACTCCGCACCAAGCCAGGAGATGGTAAGATCTCAAAATCATTTTTTTGGGAAATGGGATCAAGAGGGTTTTGGTTTGCTTGTTTGTTTGAGACAGGGTCTGTCGCCCAGGCTGGAGTGCAGTGGCATGACCTTGGCTCACTGCAGCCTTGACCTTCTGGGCTCAGGTGATACTCCCACCTCAGCCTCCTGAGTAGCTGGGACTGCAGGTGCACACCACCATGCCTGACTAATTTGTCTATTTTTTGTAGAGATGAGGTTTCACCATGTTGTCTAGGCTGGTCTCAAACTCCTGGGCTCAAGCAGTCCTCCATCCACCTCGGCCTCCCAAAGTGCCGGAATTACAGGCATGAGCTGCTGTGCCTGGCCAAGGTTTTTATTATTATTATTATTATGAAAAATTTTCAATATACATAAAAGTAGAGAGACTAGTTTAATGAGCTACCATATACCCATCACATAGGTTTAAAAACTATTAAAGTGTGCAATATTTACTCCATTTTTTCTGAAGTATTTAAAAAATTGTTTACAATAGTTATGTAATTGCATCATGATATTCACCCCTACATAATTTACTTTCCCTCTAAAAACATGAGGGCATTCTTTATATGATCATTGTCATACCTAATCAAATCACCAGTAATTCCTTAATATCCTCTAAGATCAAGTTTACATTCAGATGTCTTGTCCTCAAAATGTCAATTGTGATTATTTTTTTTTTGAGCAAAGATAATAAGAGCTCAAGATTTAATGACAGAGATTCCATGTTAGCCCTGATGTCTAAGCTCTGTGGTCCATTGTGGCTTTACTTGAAAGTCTCAGGCTAGGCGTGGTGGCTCACACCTGTAATCCTAGCACTTTGGGAAGCCAAGGTAGGTGGATCATGAGGTCAAGAGATCAAGACCATCCTGACCAACATAGTGAAACCCTGTCTCTATTAAAAATACAAAAATGAGCCAGGCATGGTGGCGGGCGCCTATAGTTGCAGCTACTCAGGAGGTTGAGGCAGGAGAATCGCTTGAACCCAGGAGGCGGAAGTTGCAGTGAGCTGAGATTGCACCACTGCACACCAGCCTGGGTGGCAAGAATGACACTGTGGAAAAAAAAAAAGTCTCTCACTGTGGTCTCATAATAAAAGGACACTCCATTTCCCATCTGGGCCCTGCTCCTTAATGTTAGCCCCCTCCTGTGGGGAGGAGGGGGTGACCTTCAGCACAGGTTGAAGCATTCCCAGGGCTGGCTCTGATCCCGATAAAGCCCATCGTCATGAATGAATGCTTCCCTTCCAGGTTATTCTAAGTATTGTAAATAGTGCACTTGGAGAGTCCTCATGATGCCTGGGATGGTAGTGAATATTTATAGGTTTCTTTTAGTGCCTTTTTTTTTTTAGTGTTTTCTATAGTTCCATGTTTCTACAACCCTTAGGAACATCAGAATCATGTGTGTGTGGGTGCTTATTAAATAAACCAGTTCCTGGAGCTCACTCCCAGTGACTCCCAGTGTGATGATTAGGGGCTCAGCTAGGACCTACGTTTGCAAAAGCTCCCAGCTGATCTCATGCAGCCAGCCTGGCTCTGGCTCTGGCTCTGGCTCTGGGAGCTGGGTTGGGAACTAGTCTTTGGTGCTATTCTGCTGAAACTTCAAGTTGGGCTCTTTGACTCCATCTTGTATTGTCATCACTTGTATTCAGGTCTGTTCTTCCCCTGGATTGTAAACTCCTTGATGTCTGGGTCATCTCAGCTCATGAGCTGAGCTTTCAGTGGGTGCTCAGTGGAACAGGTGTTGAATGGAGTCAGGCAATAGGGAGGCCAGCGTGTGTTGGTAAGTGAGAGACAAAAATCATTTTAAAAAGAATCTTTTTGCCCTTCAGTTGTGTTTTCCATGAGTTAATGTGATTTACTCTAGTGGAAGCCAGTGCAGCTTAAGTGGAGTTCTTGCCCTGAAATGGAGCCAGGTTATGGATCAGCAGAGCTGCCAAAAGCATCTTGGGGGAAATGTTTCTGTGTCACCGTCAGTTGATGGAACTCAAATTTTCACTCCCGTTCAACACCACGTGGGGGCCATTCTGACTTCTGCGGAGTGGGTATGATCAGATCTTCTGTAAAAGTGTAAGCGAGGAGGCTGGGCACGGTGGCTCACACCTGTAATCTTAGCACTTGGGAGGCTGAGGTGGGTGGATCACTTGAGGCCGAGAGTTTGAGACAAGCCTGGACGACATGATAAAACCTCATCTCTGCTAAAAATACAAAAATTCGCCAGGCATGATGGTGCATGTCTGTAATCCCAGCTACTCAGGAGGCTGAGGCAGGAGAATCACTTGAACCTGGGAGATGGAGGTTGCAGTGAGCTGAGGTTGCACCACTGCACTGCATTCCAGCCTGGGTGACAGAGCAAGACTCTGTCTCAAAAAAAAAAAAAAAAAAAAAAAGTGTATGTGAGGAAACTGGGATTGAGCTTGGGGGTGTTGGGGGATGGAGGTACTTCATCAACTGAACAAAAACCATGGGATACCAATGCTGGAGGAAGAAGCATCATCCTCAGTTTCTACTAACTCAACCACGCATGAGATGGGGACTTGGTGTCCAAGAGAAAAGCCTCTTTTTAGGTCTTCAACCTTGATCAAACCATTTCTGAATTCCTCATGCACGTATAATCAGGTGCTATGAGTGGTACTGATTGGATAATCTCTCTGTCATTTCCTGTGCTAGGAAGGAAAATACATGTACAGCCAACTTCCTTGAGGGTTCGTTCTTTTGCATCAGGGTGTCTCAAACTCCTGCCCTTAAAACACCTGCAAGAGAATCATCCAGGCAGCTTGCTCGCTCTGCATGCAGACCCTTTAGAATCAGAGTCAGAATCCCTGGGGCTGGAGCCACAAAATGAAATGACATTTCAACAAGTTTGTCATCATGTGAGAGAGAATAGGTGAGTATTTGGATACCTATAATACAAAGTAGATTCAAAAAGAATGACTTGATTATTTTAAATGTTGTGTTTTAAAAAATTTAATACAGAAAAGGCTGGGCATAGTGGCTCATGCCTGTAATCCTAGCACTTTGGGAGGCCAAGGCGGGTGGATCATTTGAGGTCAGGAGTTCAAGACCAGCCTGGCCAAAAGGTGAAACCCCATCTCTACTAAAAATATAAAAATTAGCCAGGCAGTGGTGGTGCGTTCCTGTAATCCCAGCTACGGGGGAGGCTGAGGCAGAAGAATCGCTTAAGCCTGGGAAGCAGAGGTTTGGTGAGCTGAGATCGTACCACTGCACTCCAATGTGGGTGATGATTGTTTAACCACCACCAAAAGGGATTCTGAGTCCAAATATTAATATGAAGGACATTGGTGACATTGTCTCAAAAAATTAATACCGAAAAGTACAAAAAGGGAGAGAAATCACCCCAAATCTCATGACCCCAAGAAATAAACCTCCATAATATTAAGTGAACAGCATTCCTTGCTATGCACAAAGATGGCTAGAGACATGAACAGATACTTCTGATCACACAAAATGAGATTTTAAAAACAAGAAGTAGCAAATTGAATGCTGTGTAAATTTATCAGAAGAAAAAGAAATGGAAGTGAAACTGAACGAACTGGTCAACTCAGATAAATGTAGTTTTTCCTCACTAAAAATCAGTTTCTAGAACATCTAAGAAATCAAAGATGATGAAAAATATTAAGATGTATTATATATATGTAGAAGTCTTTACAGTTGACTGATCATCTCATGAAAAATTTGTACAGTCACTGCAAATAAAGTCATTGCAAAATCTTTACTCCTTTTGCTTTTTGCCAGCACTGACATTGGCCTTTGCAGTCTCTTGACTTCATTCTGCCCTTGCATTCCTTTTGCTGTTTTTTTGAGGTCATCTTCTTCTCATGCCAGCCGTGTCTTGCAAGTCTATGTTTGAGTTCATTTTTCTTTGCATAATTCAAAGAACCAGATAACATGCCAAAACCCATTGTTTAACCACCACCAAAATGGGTTCTGAGTCCGACTATTAAGATGACACCCATTGTGGTCTTGTACATTTTGTTGCCTTCCTGGGGTGAAGGACATTGATGACCATTTGTTTCCTCTGTAGCAGTCGATTGGTCACGAACTTCCTGGTCCCGATAGTTACTGTGTCATTCATCATGGTGGTTGATCCTCAGGTAGTTAGGGAGGAAAATAAAAAAGAAGTTATATATTTGAAACCACGTTTCAATTTTAGACCTGATTAATTGGCTTAATAAAGGGCATTAGCACTTCTACTTCCTACAGTCCCTCCCTTTACCTCTGGAAACTAGTTATTTCTAGGTTGTTTTATGTTGTTAAGGTTGACCACCTTTTCTTTCTGTTCTGCAATAGTAGTCCTATTTTTAAATGGATTCACCTCTCATCACTAGCCTTTTGTCATGGTCATTCAATTCACAAGTTGCTTATTTTGTAATTTCTTGGCTGACTAAATTTTATTATGAAGACTTTTTTTTTTTAAAGAGCTCAGAAATACTGTATTCTTTAAGTTCTTGAACATGTGATAGTGTCTTTTGCCTATTTTGATTGGGCAATAATTTACCTGGCTATAAAATTCTTGGATTATACTCTATTTCCCTTAGAAATTATAGGCACCCATCCACTGACATTTCATTGTGTTTCTTTTTTTTTTGAGATGGAGTCTTGCTCTATCACCCAGGCTTGAGTGCAGTGGTGCAATCTCGGCTCACTGCAAACTCTGCCTCCCGGGTTCACAGCATTTTCCTGCCTCAGCCTCCCGAGTACATGGGACTACAGGTGCCTGCCTCCATGCCTGGCTAACTTTTTTGTATTTTTAGTACAGACGGGGTTTCACTATGTTAGCCAGGATGGTCTCGATCTCCTGACCTCGTGATCTGCCGGCCTTGGCCTCCCAAAGTGCTGGGATTACAGGTGAGCCACTGTATGAGCCCAGCCTCATTGTGTTTTGTACTAACCCCCTTTCCCTGGCCTCTTCCAGCTTGTCTTCTTCTCTTCTAGTAGTTTCTTCGTGAAGAGGCCATGTGCTATATTCCATGAGATATTTCACACTCAAAGAAGACTTCTTTTATACTCTTCTGATAATTTGTCTGGGAATCATTGTCTTGATTTATAAGGGAGTTTGTAATAAATACAGTAAAAGAGAAACACACAACGTATTTTGAGATATCAGAGAAGGGAGAAACCAATTCTATTAATATTTGGGGTTTGCAGGGAAGGCTTAGTTAAGAGGTAACATTTGAACTAAGCCTTGAAATAAGGGAAGGATTTGGACATGCAGTAATGGGGAGAGAGTAGAAGCAAGACATGATGGTTAGTGTTATGTATCAATTTGACTGGGTTGTGGGGTGCCTAGATATTTGGCTACACACTATTCTGGGTGTGTCTCTGAGGTATTCTGGATGAGGATAATGTTTAATTGGTAGACTGAATAAAGCAGATTGTCCTCCCCAATATGGGTGAGCCTCATCCAATCCACTGAAGACCTGAACAAAACAAAAAGGTAGAGTCACAGAGAATTTGCTCTTTTTACCTGATTATATTTGAGCTGGGACATCAATCTTCTCCTGACTTTAGATGTGGACTCGAGTTGGAACTATATCATTGGCTGTCCTGGGTCTCCAGCTTGCTGGCTGCAGACTCCAGGACTCCTTAGCCTCCATAACCATGTGAGCCATCCCTTACAACAAAACAATCTGTCTCTCTCTATGTGTATAGCTCTACCTCTATCTCTCTGCTCTTTCTCTGGAGAACCTAGAGTAATACACAAGGTTATATTAGAGAAGAGGATGATCCAAGGAAAAGCATGGAGGTGGAAAAGTGCAAAGAGCATTTGGGAAGACTGGGGTCCTGATGGGGAGTTTGGATTTCACTGTGTGTAGCATAGAGAATCCTTGAAAATATTCAAGAGGTGAAAATTGTATTTGTGGAAGAACACCAGGAGTATGTGAAAAGAAAAACACTCACTCCGTTTTAACTCCACCGAAGTGGGCATCAAAGGGATGCACTGGGGACATGGGTTGGAGGGTAGTTGAGGCCATATCTGGAGGATCTTTACTTCTAGGCTGAGTCTGAAGTTATCTTTCTGGGGAGTGGGGGATTACAAATCTTTGAGCTCCACTCAAGAGATGGTTTTGCTAACAATGGCAGGGCGACGGTGGTGGTGGTGGGAAACTGGTATCATGAATTCTAACTGGGCTTCTGTTATTCTAGCCAAGAAAGTTGGGGAATGGATTTTCAGTAGAATAATACAGATCTGGGAATCAACTGCATGGAGGAGGTAGTTATAGGTGATGAGATGGCTCAGGGACAAAGTTTGGTAGAAGGAGAAAAGATACTAGGCTGGTACAAAAATAATTGCTATTTTTGCCATTACTTTTAATGGCAAAATCCGCAATTACTTTTGCACCAACCTAATAGGGTGCAAACTTCAGAGCCATCTGCATCAGAGGGATTGATGAAGATCAACAAAGTTTGGGAACACAGGAAAGGAGCGGGGAGGGTAATGACTTGAGGGCATAGCAGGGATAATCAAGGTTTTTCTTGTTAGCATGTGGAGACTTTAGCATGATTATATGTTAAACGCCTGGCACATACATGGTGCAAAATATTTATGAGTGAAATGACAAGTGAAGGTGGTGAGTCATGGGAGTTCCAAGGAAACGGGTGATAAAGGGAGGTCTCAAATGAGGCACAAGTGGAGAAGGTAGCTTGGGAAAGGAGAAGGATGCTTCTCCTTATAAGATGGGAAAGGCAGAGGAAGAGGGTCAAGATACAGTGATCTAGGGGTGAGATGGAAGTGAGTTGAGAGAACTCAACTCTGGGCCCTGAAACCCCTAGGGATGGGTTTGGGGGACTTTGAGATATGGAAGAGGTTTAAAGTCAATTGTTATAGCAAATATGGTTCGGAATTTATTTGTAATGCTTAAAAATATTGCTGAACAGAAGTGAAGTCTACCCTAGAGTTGGATGGTGAGATTATTTAGTGGAACTACCAGATCCATGTTGTGATTCTTTCCAGTATCATTCAGCAGCCCTTGGGCAGTTGCAAGGCAAGTCATCAGTGGGGTATGGAAATTTTCCAGGTGGGTGTGGTTGAAAGCAGGGAAGAAAGAGTTTAGGAGCACATTACAGGAAGGTGACTGTAAGGTCCAGGCTGAGCAGGAAAGTAAAGCAAGAAGGAAACATGAGGTTGTGAAGAGAAGTCTAGAGGGATGAGGAGGCAGGAGTGGTGAACAGTTGCAGGATGTAGCTAGAGTGGCGATGTTAGATCTTGGGGCCAGAGAGCTTTACAATGATTATGAAGATCAAAGGACATCAGAATCAAGCTATAAAGAGCCACTGTTTGATGGGATGTGAGGATGCTGCAGGTGGATATCTGCACATTGATGGTGAGAGTATGGTCACCCTGGCCCTGCTGGGTCTTTGCTAAAGAGACTGTGCTCTGTTCTTGGGGCCGTTTTCATCACCTGATTAGAGCAGTGGTCCCCAAATGGTGTTCTTTGGACCATCTGTACAAAATGTTCATAGGTCAAGTATAAAATGGAAAAACAGAGAAAATGTCACAGAAATGTGTCCATTGGTGAAAGACCACCAGCTGTCCTTTTTGGAGGATTGTTCTGTATTCTAAAAATGTATATATTCTATTCTATTAAAACATTTTTGTATTTGCATTTTTTCTCTTTTATGAAATGCCATGGGGTAGAAATTTGTAATGTATCCAATTCTCCTGTCTTCATGCATTGCCCTGTGGTGGGGGAGGGGATGTGGCTAGCACTGGCCAAGAGGCTGGGGGCAGAGGTGCAGTGTGAGACTTCTAGCCTGGGTCATTTAATTCTTAGTACAAGACTCTCTAGCATTCTTCTCCCTCTGTTCCCTGCTTGGTGATACTCGAGGTAATGCAACCCCCATTAGCCTTAGTCTTAGGGCAGGTTTGATGGAAAACAGAGCATCCCATACCTCCCTGCAGATGTAGCATGAGTGAGAAAAACAACTTCTGATGTTTGAAGTTACCAAGATTTAGGAGTTGTTTGTTATTGCAGCAAAACCTCACCTATTCTGACCAATCATGTTGGAATTTCTGTGTGTGTGTGTGTGTGAAACTGGTAGTTTAAAAAATTTCCTTCTTACCAAAAAGAAAAAAAAATTGCAACCTTATGTTGGTTCTCAAATTAAAAAAATATTTTTACTGGTTTATAAAATAGAAAAATCTGAGAATCTGTAGCTTAGAGAACTACAGTGTGGGATGTCTATAAAGACCAGGTTATTTTATCAGCTCCTAACACCCCTTAAGAAAAGCTTAGCCAAGACTTGGAATATTTCAGTCTTTCCCATTCCACATTCCATGGACCCTTGAAGAGACATTGATGAAATGGTGCAGCCATGAACCACCCTAACTCAATCCTAGTGGCAGAATCCCCCTTTTACTGCAGAATGAGCTTCTTGCTACAGTGATACTTGAACCCCTTAGATATATCCTGTACTGATTATATTAAAACACGACCAATGCTTTTGCTTTGTTGTCCCCCAAATTAAACACATTAAGCATGAGAACCCAGAGAATTGGATTTAGTGTAACTGATTCCAAAGTGTCAGTAAGAACATAATTAGGTTATATTTTTCTCCAGTTCAAATAAAAGAAAATTGACAATAAAATGCTGATCAATATGTGTAGCTCAGGAGGTAGAGCCTGCTTTGAGATGCAGAAGTGTTTGTTTTTTTTAGATCTATATTATTGAGTAAAGAAAAAATCCATCTCTCTTTCCTAGAGGGGAAGACTTTCAGAGCTGGGCTTGGCAACAGCCTGACTATCAGAGGCTGAATTAAACAAATAGGTACCTCCCTGGAGTGAATGGTGCATTTCTCCTGTTCGGGGAACCATGCTTTTATGCTGGAGTTTGCTTTCTGTCTTGGTCTCCGGATGTGTGTATCTGTGGGTGGATGTCTGCATGTAAATGGCAGTGTATACCTGTGTGGGTGTGTACAAAATTCCCATGTGAATCTCAGCTTTGTGGGGATCTCTGGGTGTTGAGCCCAGCAGATGCCATTTGAAGAAAAATCACTTGAAAATGAGACAGAAAGAATGGAAAATAAATCCTAGCTCTAAAGGCACCAGGCTGATTAAAAAAAAAACTCTGGATCTTCTTTGTTTTGGACTCTACCTACCTCCAAATGACATTTCTGTTTCCTATGAGATGATTAGAATGAAAGAGATCCTGAGCACGAAAGAGCAGATACTGTGTGATTGTGTGTATGTCAGCGTGTCAGCTGTGACACTGCTGACATTTTGGCTCAGCAATTTCTCTGTTCTATGTGTGGGGGTTCCCTGTGCATTTTAGGATGTTGAACGGCATCCCTGGATCCCTGGACTCACTGGATGCAGTAACACAACCCCCCCCAAGTAGAGACAAACCGCATTGTCCCCAGATATTGCCTAATGTCCCCAGGGGGCAAAATAGCCCCATCTGAGAACTGCTGCTTTCATAAAGTACAATGTCAGGTGAAATAGGTGGAGGCTGTTTGTAGTCAGGGGTTAGTAGAGATGGAAGAGACCCCAGGAATATCCTGGAAGGGGCTCTAATATTTTGTTTCTTGAATTGAGTGTCGGAAATATGGAGATGTTCAGGTTTTGTTGTTGTTGTTGTTTTGAGGCAGGATCTTGCTCTGTCACCCAGGGTGGAGCAAGTGGCACCGTCATGGCTCACTGCAGCCTCTGCCTCCTGGGATCAAGCAGCCCTCCCACCTCAGCCCTCCTGAGTAGCTGGAACTACAGTCATGTGCCATCACTGTTGCCTAATTTTTGTATTTATTTATTTTTTGTAGAGAGGGGGTCTCATTATGTTGCCCAGGCTGGTCTCGAGCTCCTGGGCTCAAGCAATCTGCTCACCTCGGCTTCCCAAAGTGCTGGGATGACAGGCATGAGCCACTGCGCCTGGGCAATATGTTCAGTTTGTAAGAAAAGTACTGTGTTGACTTCTTCTATGTGCACATTTCTTTAAGTAATAATTCAATAAAGCATTTAGAAAAATTGGTCATAATAAGAGTGATTTGTAGAGTGATTGGCATGAAAGCTGATCACCTTAATTAGAACTACTCTGAAATGAGCACCAGGGGCCACCAAGAGGAGCCTTTCAAGGTGTCATAGCCAAGGAGAGGAGTGTGTTGTGTACATCTCTGCATAAAGGATTTGCTGGTTACATGGAAGGATGAAGCCTCCTTCTGAGGAGAGAGGCAGCAAAGCAAGTGGAAGCCCAAAGCATTGAGCTTTCTAAATGGACTTTGCTAAAATCCAAATGCCCATCACCAGATGAAGAGATACACCGATTGTTGTCTACCCACATGGTGGAATATTATTTGATCACAAAAAGGAGGAAACTACATACGCTACAGCGTGGATGAACCTTCAAACAGCTGAAAGATCACATTCTACATGATTTCATTCAGATGGAAATCTATAGAAATAGGAAGTCGATTAGTGGTTGCTTAGGGCTGGTAGGGGCATGGGAGGATAGGGGGTGTTAGCTAAAGAGTATGAGATTTCTTTTTGAGGTCATGAAATGTTCTAAAATTGACTGGTAATGTTTGTGTATATCTCTGAATATATTAAAAACCATTGAAATGTAAAAAATGCAAAGAAAAAACAGCCCAAGTTGCAATTTTATTCAACACTTAATTGGCTTTAAAAATAGATTCCAGGCTGGGCATGGTGGCTCACACCTGAATTCCCAGTGCTTTGGGAGGCTGTGGTGGGAGGATTGCTTGAGGCCAGGAGTTCCAGGCCAGCCTTGGCAACATGGCAAGACCCTGTCTGTACAAAAAAAGAAAAAATAAATATCAGCTGGGTGCAGTGGCTCACACCTGTAATCCCAGCACTTTGGGAGGTTGAGGCGGGCAGATCACCTGACATCAGGAGTTCAAGACCAGCTTGGCCAACATGGTGAAACCCCGTCTCTACCAAAAATATAAAATTTAGCCTTTTGGTACTCTGAGCAGCACCATGGCAGTTGTTAAGAACAAGTGCCTTATGAAAGGTGGCAAAAAGGGAGTTAAGAAGAAAATAATTGATCCATTTTCTAAGAAAGATCAGTATGATGTGAAAGCACCTGCTATGTTCAATATAGGAAATATTGGAAAGACTTGGTCACCAGGACCCAAGGAACCCAAATTGCATCTGATGGTCTCAAGGGTCTTGTGTTTGAAGTGAGTCTTGCTGATGTGCAGAATGATGAAGTTGCATTTAGAAAACTCAAGCTGATTACTGAAGATGTTCAGGGCAAAAACTGCCTGACTAACTTCTATGGCATGGGTCTTTCCTGTGACAAAATATGTTCCATGTTTGAAAACTGTTCAACAATGATTGAAGCTCATGTTGATGTCAAGACTACCGATGGTTACTTCTTTCATCTGTTTTGTGTTGGTTTTACTAAAAAACACAACAATCAGATACTGAAGACGTCTTATGCTCAGCACTAACAGTCCGCCAAATCCAGAAGAATATGATGGAAATCATGACTTGAGAGGTGCAGACAAATGACTTGAAAGAAGTGGTCAATAAATTGATTCCAGACAACATTGGAAAAGATGTAGAAAAGGCTTGCCAATTTATCCTCTCCATGATGTCTTCATTAGAAAAGTAAAAATGCTGGAGAACCCTGGGTTTGAAAGGCATGGAGCTTCGTGGTGACGGTAGTAGTTCTGGAAAACCCACTAGGGACAAGACACATGCTAAAGTTGAATGAGCTGATGGATATGAACCACCAGTTCAAGAATCGTTTAAAGTTCAGACTTAAAACAGTGGCAAAGAAGAAGTCCTATTTGTGAAAAACAAACAAGAAACAACAATGAAAAAAGCAAAATTAGCCTGGTGTGGTGGTGCATGCCTGTAATCCTAGCTACTCAGGAGGCTGAGGCATGAGAATCACTTGAACCTGGGAGACAGAGATTGCAGTGAGCCAAGATTGCACCATTGCACTCCAGTCTGGGCAACAGAGTGAGACTCTCTCCAAAAAGAAAGAAGAAAAAAAAAGTATCCAGGCTTGGTGGCATGCGCCTGTAGTCTCAGCTACTCTGAAGGCTGAGGTGGGAGGATAGCTTGAGGCCAGGAGTAATTTGAGGCTGCAGTGAACTATGATTGTGACACTGCACTCCAGCCTGGACTGCAGAGCAAGACCCTGTCTCTTATACATACATATATACATACATATATATATATACATACACACACACACACGTACATACATACCCAGGCTCTACCTCTGGTGATTCTGACTCAGTAGGGTGGGGTATCCCCTAGGGATCCTACTGTTCAGCCTGGTCTGGGATCCACTTTTCACTGGGAACTGAGACACTGGCTGTGAGCCTTTCTGTCCTGAGATGTAGAGGTCATGGCGATGCAGGTTCAAGCTTAAGGAGACCTGACTGTGCATTAGGTATTGTGCTGAACATCATCTCTTACTCTCACAGCAACATCCTTAGAAGGTTAATGATGTGTCCCTGCTCTACAGATGAGCAACTGAGCTTTCAGAGGAGTTTAGCTTGTTCAAAACTTACTCTTCCTATTGGAAACTTTGTACCCTTTGACCAGTGTCTCCTATCCCCTACCTTTCCTCCACCCCAGCCCCTGATAACCACTGTCCTACTCTCTATTTCTGTGAGTTCAACTTCTTTAGATTCCACATATAAGTAAAATCATGCAGTATTTGTCTTTCTGTGCCTGGCTTATTTCACTTAACAGAATGTCTTTCAAGTTCACTATGTTGTTGAAAATGACAGGATTTCTTTCTTTTTTAAGGGTTAATAGTATTCCATTGTGTGTATATAGTACATTTTCTTTATCCTTTCATCCATTGATGGACACTTAGGTTGATTCTACATCTTGGGTATTGTGAATAGTGCTGCAGTGAACATAGGAACGTAGAGATCCCTTCGACATATTGATTTCGATTTTTTTTGTCTATACCCAGAAGTTGGGTTGTTGGATTATATGCTTTGAAATCTATAGCACAGCAGCGTGACTATAGTCAATAATAATGTATCTTTCAAAATAACTAAGAGGGTACATTTCAAATGTCTCATCATAAAAATTGTCAGTAAATTAGGGGATCTACATATTAATTAGTTTGATCTAATCATCCCGCATTGTATACACATATCAAAACATCACATAAATGTGTACAATTATGATTTGTCAATTAAAATAACGTTAGTTAAAAAAATAAGTAACTTGTTCAAAGCCCCAGTTGAGATTGATGGAGCTGGGACATGCACCAAGGCTGTTGCTCTCAGGCCTGCAGAGTCCTTGGTCCATGAATGTTGAAGCCCTACCTGAGATTTCTACTGAGATCAGTGTAGGGATTCAATGTCTCAGAATCATCCCATCCTCCAAGGCCCACAAGTCCATGACTGCTGCCTCTACCCCCAACCCTACTGACCTGAAATGTGGCCCCTGCTTTCATTTCCGGGAGCATACAACACTTACACCAAGCATTGATGGGTTTTGTTGACTTCATTTGAGATGTGGGGCCATAGAGAGGGTCCCATGATCCTTGCTTGGTGTTGGCCAACTCATTGACTTCTCTCCTTTGGCTTCACCCTTCCCTTTTCTACTCACCTCCCCTGTCATGTATTGCTCTGGGAATTCTGAGCCCTGGTTCCTTTATTTTGCAGATAACCTTCACTCTTCTCTGCAATGAATCCCAAAAGTATGTAGTTGAGCTGACTGCAAGGTGCTTGAGATGCAAGAGACTCCACAAATGGGATTCGGCCTCTGGAAAGTGGTGGTAGTTCCAGATTTATGTGGATGTTACTTTGTTTTTCCCTATAAAATATATTCTTTAAACTATCAAGCTCTTGGCTCCTGGCTGCAGTCCTTTGCTGGTGGCAGTGGGCTGGGTACTGCCACTGGGGAGAAATGCTGCCCACTTAGAGAAACAGAAACTGGTTCTCTTTAAGAGGCAGAGGGAGGTTTCCAGTGCCAGTTTGTTTGGAGGCAAAATGGCTGTTGTATTAAAATTGCCCAAACTTGGGCTGGTGCCTTGTGTGTTTAGAGCTCAAAGCCACGATTGTTTTCATTTTTTTTTTTTTTTTTTTTTTTTTTTGGTGGTCGGTTTTCCATCCTTTTGCTTGGCAGGTTTCTGCTAATAGCTTCAACCTCAAGAGTCCCATTATACAGACACTAATAGCACCTACTATGTGTCAGTCTGTAGTGCCTACTATGTACCAGGCATTGGAGATAATATTATGATGAATAAGATAAACATGGCACTTGGAAAAGAGAGTCCAGTTCCCAATCTCAGCCCACCCCAAAGAGAGGCCAGAATTGGGCTTCCAAAGATCTCAGATGCCCTTGCATCATCTCCCTGAAGAGGGCGGGTGAAGCTTTGGTGTCTGAAGAGAATTTGGCTGGACAATCCCCAAGGTTTAGAATGATGGGAAGGAGCTGCCATCTGTGTTTAAGGTGAGAAGCGGGGGAGTGGCTGGATATCAGAGGAAGCCAAGATGAAGAGAAGGTTTTTGTGAGTTCCTAGGCATAGTGGAGACCTGTTATAGTGTGGGTCCCTGGGGCTGAGCCTGTGGGTCAGTGGAATGATGCTGTGAGGAGGGTCTTGTTATAGCAAGATAGCCCAAAAAAGGCTGATGGATCATGAGCAGCTGGAAGAACGGAGAGTTCGGGGGATGTAGTTCCTACCTGGCTTTCCAACAGTGTGTAAGCCCAGAATTCTTACATAAGCCCATGGAGAAGTGGAAGGAATGCTGGTAACGACAAGATTGAATTCTCCACCTGCCAGGCATCCAGGGACTCAGAGCAGATTTAACTGAAGTTACAGAAATAGGAATGTGACATTTCCTACATGCGGGTGTGCTGGAGCAAATGTATTCCCTCTCAGGTTTGTGGGGAAGGAGAATGCTAACAGACAAGACTCCAGGTTTTCGCTCTTAAACCTGGTGCCTACATATGCATTTTCTACTGGATGCAGACAGAAGCTCCATATAGACATATCCATCGCTGCATCTCTCATGCCTTGTGTTCTCCCTAATTTTCCCTTTTTAACCCACAGAGGAAGAGAGTTCCAGCATCACTTCTGGCCTCTCAAGAGTGAGTTAGGTGGCCAGGTGGGGTTATTCATGCCTGTAATCTCATAATGAATGGGTGGCCTGCCGCTCCACACCTGTGGGTATTTCTAACCAGGTGGGATGAGAGATAGAAAAGAAATAAGACACAGAGACAAAGTATAGAGAAACAACAGTGGGCCCAGGGGACCGGCGCATAGCATACCAAGGACCTGCACTGGCACCGGTCTCTGAGTTCCCTCAGTTTTTATTGATTATTATCTTCATTACTTCAGCAAAAAGGAATGTAGTAGGAGGGCAGGGTGATAATAAGGAGAAGGTCAGCAATAAACATGTGAGCAATAGAATCTATGTCATAATGAAGTTCAAGGGAAGTTACTATCACTGGACGTGCACGTAAGCCAGATTTATGTTTCTCTCCACCCAAACATCTCAGCGGAGTAAAGAATAACAAGGCAGCATTGCTGTAAACATGTCTTGCCTCCCACCTTAGGGCGGTTCTTCTCCCATCTCAGAATTGAACAAATGTACAATCGGGTTTTATACCAAGACATTCAGTTCCCAGGGACAGGCAGGAGACAGTGGCCTTCCTCTGTCTCAACTGCAAGAGGCTTTCCTCTTTGACTAATCCACCTCAGCACAGACTTACGGGTGTCGGGCTGGGGGACCGTCAGGTCTTTCTCATCCCATGAGGCCATATTTCAGACTATCACATGGGGAGAAACCCTGGACAATACCCAGCATTCAAGGGCAGAAGTCCTTGCAACTGTCTGCAGTGCATTGTGCCCCTGGTTTATTGAGACTAGAGATTGGCGATGAGTATTACCAAGTCTACTGCTTGTAAACATTTTGTTAACAAGGCACGTCCTGCACAGCCCTACATCCCTTAAACCTTGATTTCATACAACACATGTTTTTGTTAGCTCCAGGTTGGGTCAAAGTGGTTTGGTCAAACTGGCTGGGGCAAAGCCGCAGATTAAGAACATCTCAGCAAAGCAATTGTTTAAAGTACAGGTCTTTTTCAAAATGGAGTCTCTTATGTCTTCCCTTTCTATGTAGACACAGTAACAGTCTGATCTCTCTTTCTTTTCCCTGCATATCCCCCTTTTCTTTTTGACAAAACCGCCACCATCATTATGGCCCCTTCTCGCTGGTCGCTGTCTCTCTGGAGCTGCTGGATACACCTGTAAACTACCAATAGAAAGGACAGACATACAAGGATTAATACAAAATTTGCAACAGTGCAATTTCCAGTGGTTTTAACCCAAGTGACAGGGGGCAAGAGGACGGTGTGGGTGCTGCAGTACCCAGGCAGTCTCCCACCTCCTTTGTGTCTTAGTTGCTGTTTCTCATAGTTTTCGGTCTTTCTCCTCACCTGTTCACTCGCACCTTTTATCTCTTTGTCTCCTTTCTCTTACAGTCTCTCTCTTTTATACTATCTCTCTCCCCAGTCTCACTTTCTGTGTCTGTCTCTGATCTCTGTCTCTTTTTCTTTCTATTCTTCTCCCTGGCTCTCCACATGTGCCGTTTTCTTGGTGGATGGTAACTTCATTGGTTCTTCTGATATCACCATTTTGTTCACCCTGCGAGTCGACGATGCTCGATTGCGGGTTTTCTGTCTCTGCGGAGGCATTTTCATTTGCATCTCTGATGGGTTCATTGTAGAACTTCAAATGTCTAGTGGGTATCCAAACAGGAAGCTGATTTTCTCCTGGTGAAACACAAGCAAAACCTCTTCCCCATGTTATCACCTTCCCTATTTCCCATGTTTTGTTTTTGTTGTCTTTCCACCAAATCAGTTTTCCCTCATGTGGGCTGTTCTTTTTACCAGTAAAATGTTCTGCAGAGGTAGCGGTCTGATTTCTATGTATGTTTAGAAAGTTTAAAGTATAGAGTGTTAGATTAAGTTGCATCTGGGTAGTGTTATACTCCTTACTGTCTTTTTCCTTTTTTTGTTTAACCAATTGAGCTTTGAGTGTTTTAAGCAGGACAGGTAAAATCTGCGTCTGGCACAGCCAGCCAGGTCTCCTTATCCTTTGCTTCCCTTTCTGCCTGTGACTGAATGGGTATGTCAGGGTCTAGTAGGGGATCCAGGAGGAGGAAACCTCATTAACTTCTATTCTGCAGCAATTGATGTCCACCCAACTTGAACAGTGGGGGCTTATCACCTCATGTACTAAGACCAGAGATAGCTGATGCCAAGGTTGGCTAAATTAGTAGCTTGAGATGTTAGGTTTTTCATTTGAGGTTTCCATGCTGCTATTGTCTTCTGCTCTTGGTCACAGAGGCTGCCACAATCCGCATGTCAAGTCCTCATGTGACAATATCCAGAGACAGCAAGGAAGAGGTACAGTGTATTCCTGCATGTTTCTTAAAAAAATGTTTTAGATAGAGAATAATTGTACACATTTATGGGGTCCATGTGAGATTCTGGTACATGCACGCAATGTGTAATGATCAAATCAGGGTCTTTAGGATATTAATCACCTCAAACATTGATCATTTCTTTGTATTGGGAATATTTCAAATCTTACTGCTATTTAGAAATATACAATAAATCCATTTATCAGGATACAAAATCTATGTACACAAATAAGTAGCAGTGCTATACACCAACATCTACCAGGCTGAGAATCAAATCAAACCCTTTTATAATAGCTGTAAAAATAAAATACTTAGGAATATACCTAACCAAGGAGGTGAAAGACCCCTACAAGGAAAACTACAAAACACTGTTGAAAGAAATAGATGACACAAACAAATGGAAACACATTCCATGCTCATGGATGGGTAGACTCAATATTGTGAAAATGACCATACTGCCAAAAGCAGTCTACAAATTCAATGCAATTCCTATCAATATACCATCATCATTCTTTATAGAACTAGAAAAAAAAGCCAAAATTCATTTAGAACTAAAAAAGTCT
This sequence comes from Homo sapiens, assembly GCF_000001405.40. Classification (NCBI taxonomy): domain Eukaryota; kingdom Metazoa; phylum Chordata; class Mammalia; order Primates; family Hominidae; genus Homo; species Homo sapiens. Next base: position 125,802,106 of record NC_000003.12, read on the forward strand.
GCATAGCCAAAGGAAAACTAAGCAAAAAGAACCAATCTAGAGGCATCACATTACCCAACTTCAAAGTATATTACAAGGCTATAGTCACCAAAACAGCATGGTGCTGGTATAAAAATAGGCACATGACCAATGGGACAGAGTAGGGAACCTAGAAATAAAGCCAAATACTTAACAGCCAACTGATCTTCGACAAAGTAAACAAAAACAAAGTAGGGAAAGTACACCCTATACAACAAATAGTGCTGGGATAATTGGCAAGCCACATGTAAAAGAATAAAAATGGATTCTCATCTCTCACTTTATACAAAAATCAACACAAGATGGGTCAAAGACTTAAATCTAAGGTCTGAAACCATAAAAATTCAGAAGATAACTTTGGAAAACGCTTCTACACATTGGCTTAGGCAAACAGTTCATGACCAAGAACCCAAAAGCAAATGCAACAGAAACAAAGATAAATAGATGGGACTTAATTAAACTAAAAGCCTCCTGCACAGCATAGGAAATAATCAGCAGAGTAAACAGATCACCCACAGAATGGGAGAAAATTTTCACAAACTGCATCTGACAAAGGACTAATGTCCAGAATCTACAGGGAACTCTAATCAGCAAGAAAAAAATAATCCCATCAAAAAGTGTGCCAAGGACATGAATAGACAATTCTCAAAAGAAGATATACAAATGGCCGACAAACATATGAAAAAATGCTCAACATCACTAATTACCAGGGAAATGCAAATCAAAACCACAATGCAATACCACGTGTAAAATAAACAAAAATAGGGCCGGGCGTTGTGGCTCACGCGTGTAATCCCAGCACTTTGGGAGGCGAGGTGGGCAGATCAGGAGGTCAGGAGTTTGAGACCAGCCTGACCAACATGGTGAAACCCAGTCTCTACTGAAAATACAAAAATTAGCCTGGCATGGTGGTGGTTACCTGTAATCCCAGCTACTCAGGAGGCTGAGGCAGGAGAATTGCTTGAACCCGGGAGGCAGAGGTTGCAGTGAGCTGATATTGCACCACTGTACTCCAGCCTGGGTGACAGAGCGAGACTCCATCTCAAAAAAAACAAAAACAAACAAACAAACAAAAAACAAAAAAAGCAAAAATGGATGTTGGCATGGACGTGGTGAAAGAGAACGGTTTTACACTGCTGGTGGGAATGTAAGCTAGTACCACCACTATGGAAAGCAGTATGGAGATTCCTTAAAGAACTAAAAGTACATCTACCATTTGATCCAGCAACCCCACTTCTAGGTATCTACCCAGAGGAAAAGAAGTCATTATATGAAAAAGATACTTTTGCACACATGTTTACAGTAGCAAAATTCACAGTTGCAAAACTATAGAACCAGCCCAAATGCCCATCAATCAATTAGTGGATAAAGAAAATGTGTTATATATATATATATATATATATATACACACACACACACACACACCATAGAATACTACTTAGCCTTAAAAAGGAATGAAATAATGGCATTCATAGCAACCTGGATGGAGTTGGAGACCATTATTCTAAATGAAGTAACTCAGGAATGGAAAACCAAACATTGCATGTTCTCACTCATAAGTGGGAGCTAAGCTATGATGATGCAAAGGCACAAGAATGAAACAGTGGACGTTGGGGGCTCAGGGGGAAGGTGGGAGGGGGTGAGAGAGGAAAGACTATACACTGAGTAAACTGCTTTGGTGATGGGTACGCCAAAATTTCAGAGATCACCACTAAGGAACTTCTCCATGTAACCAAATACCACCTGTTCCCTAAAAACTATTGAAATTAAAAAAAAAGAAATATACAACAAATTGTTGTAGTCACTTTCTGTGATAATGAACCCTAGATCTTATTCCTTCTATTATATATTTTTATACCCATGAATCAACCTCTTTTTATACCCATTAATCAACTTCCTATTCCCAGCCTCTGTTAACTATCATTCTACTCTTTATCTCCATGATATCAATTTTATATAGCTCCAGGGCACACAAGTCCATAACTGCGGTCTCTCTCCCTGACCCTACTGACCTGAAACATGGCCCCCGCTTTGATTTCCAGGAGCATAAACTGCTCATATAAGTGAGAACATGCAATAGTTTTCTTTCTGTGCATGGCCTAGTTCACCTAACTTTATGACCTTTAATTCCATCCATTTAGCTGAAAATGACAGGATTTCATTTTCTTTATGGCTGAATACTATTCTATTGTGCATATGTTCCCATTTTCTTTATCCATTCATCCATTGATTGATTGACACTTAGATTGACTCCATATCTTGGCTATTGTAAATAGTGCTGCAGTAAATATGGGGGTACAGATATCCCGTTGATACACTGATATCCTTTTTTTTGGATACATACCCAGGAGTGGGATTGCTGGATCATATGGTAGATCTGTTCTTAGTTTTTTGAGAAATCTCTGTACTTTTTTTCATAATGGCTGTACTAATTTACATTCCCACCAACAACATACAATAATTTTCTTTTCTTCACATGCTTTCCAGCATTTGTTGTGCTTTGTCTTTTTCATAATAGCCATTCTAACAAGTGTGAGATGATATCTCATTGTGGTTTTGATTTGCATTTCCGTGATGATTAGTGATGTTGAATATTTTCTCATAAACTTGGTGATTTGTATATCTTCTTTTGAGAAATGTCTGTTTATTTTTTGATAGTTTCTTTTGCTGTGCAGGAGCTCTTTCATTTAATTAGATCCCATTTGTCAATTTTTGCTTTTGTGGCAATTGCGTTTGGCATCTTCACCATGAACACTTTGCCCATCACTATGTACCGGATGGTATTGCCTAAGTTGTCTTCCAGCGTTATTATAGTTATGGGTTTTACATTTAAGTCTTTAAGCCATCTTGAGTTAATTTTTGAGTATGGTGTAAGGGAGGGGTGTTGTCTTTTCACTCTGTTGATTGCTTTCTTTGATATGCAGAAGGTATTTAGTTTAATATAATCCCATTTGTCTGTTTTTGTTGCTTGTACTTTTTAAGTGTTAGCCATACAATCTTTGTTCTCAAGCGTTTCTCCTGTGTTTACTTCTAGTAGTTTCATAGTTGTGGCTGTTACATTTAAGTCTTTAATTGATTTTGAGTTTATTTTTGTAAGTGATGAGAGATAAGGGTCTAGTTTTATTCTTCTGTGTTTGGATATCTAGTTTCCCTGGCACCATTTAATGAAGAGGTTGTCCTTTATTCAATGTATGTTCTTGACAGCTTCTTGAAAATCAGTTAGCTGTAAATATGTGGATTCATTTCTGGATTCTTTAGTCTGTTTCCTTTGTTTTTGTGTCTGTTTTAATACCAATACACGCTTTTTTGGTTACTATAGCTTTGCAGTGTGTGTATATATATATATACACACACATATATATATACACGTATATATACACATATAAGTATATATATACACGTATATATATACGTGTGTATATATACACTTTTTTTTTTTTTGAGACAGAGTCTTGCTCTGTCGCCCAGGCTGGAGTGCAGTGGCGCGATCTTGGCTCACTGCAAGCTCTGCCTCCCGGGTTCACGCCATTCTCCTGCCTCAGCCTCCCGAGTAGCTGGGACTACAGGCACCCACCACCACACCTGGCTAATTTTTTTTTTTTTTTTTTTTTAGTAGAGACGGGGTTTCACCATGTTAGCCAGCATGGTCTCGATCTCCTGACCTTGTGATCCACCCGCCTCGGCCTCCCAAAATGCTGGGATTACAGGCATGAGCCACCGCGCCCGGCCGCTTTGCAGTATATTTTTAAATCAGGTAGTGTGAGGCTTCTAGCTTTGTTCTTTTTGCTCAGTATTGCTTTGGCTACTTGGGGTCTTCTGTGGTTCCATATGAATTTCAGGGTTATTTTTTTTCCTGTTTCTGTGAAGAATATAATTGATAGGGATTATACTGAATCTCTAGATTGTTTCGGGTAGCATGGTCATTTTAACAGTATTAGTTATTCCAACCCACGAGCATGAGATCCCTTTCCATTTGTTCCTGTCCTTCTCAATTTATTTTATCAGTGTTCTGTGGTTTTCATTGTAGAGTTTTTTTGGTTTTTTTTTTCCCCATCCTTGGTTAAGTTTATTCCTAGGCATTTTATTTTTGTAGCTATTGTAAATAGAATTTCTTCCTTGATTTCTATTTTAGCTAGTTTGTTACTGGTATATAGAAACATTACTGATTTTTGTATGTTGATTTTGTGTCCTGAAGCTTTACTGAATTATACATCCGTTCTTTACAAAATTTTTTATTTTTTATTTTTTGAGATAGAGTCTCACTCTGTTGCTCAGGCTGGAGTGCAGTAGTGCAGTCTTGGCTCACTGCAACCTCCACCTCTCGGGTTCAAGCCATTCTCCTGCTTCAGCCTCCCAAGTAGCTGGGATTACAAGCACCTACCACCATGTCTGGCTAATTGTATTTTTATTAGAGACAGGGTTTCACCATGTTTACCAGGCTGGCCTCAAACTCCCAACCTCAGGTGATCCGCCCACCTTGGCCTCCCAAAGTGCTGGGATTACAGGCATGAGCTACCATGCCCAGCCTAATTTACCCATTTTAAGAGTTTTTTGGTGGAGTCTTTAGGTTTTTCTGTTTACAAGTATAAGATTATGTCATCTGCAAAGTGAGACAATTTGACTTCCTCTTGTCCATTTTGGATGCCTTTTATTTCTTTATCTTATCACTCTGGCTTGGATGTCCCATACTGTGTTGAATAAGAGTGGTGAAAGTGGGCATCCTTGTCTTCTTCCAGTTATTAGAGGAAAGGCTTTTCAATTTTTCCCAGTGAGTAGGAAGTTAGCTGTAGATTTGTCATATATGCCTTTTCTTATGTTGAAGTGTTCCTTCTATGCATAATTTGTTGAGAGTTTTCATCATGAAGGCATGGTAAGTTTTACCGAGTGATTTTTCTTTCTGCATCTGCTGAGATGATCAGATAGTTTTTGACTTTCATCTTGTTGATGTGATGTATCACATGTATTGATTTGTGTATGTTGAGCCATCTTTGCATTCCTGGGATAAATCCCACTTGATCATGGTATATTATCTTTTTCATTCATCATTAGATTTGGCTTGGTAGTATTATGCTGAGAATTTTTCCATTTGTGTTCATTAGGAATATTGGCCTGTAGTTTTCTCTTTTTGTTGTGTCCTTGTCTTCATTGGATATCAAGGTAATGCTGGCCTTATACAATGAGTTAGGAAGAATTCCCTCCTCTTCAATTTTTGGGAATAGTTTGAGAAGTATTGGTGTTTGTTTTTCTTTATAAATTGGGTAGAAATCAGCATAAAAGCCTAGTCTAGGGCTTTTCTCTTTTGGGAGACTTTTTGTTACTGATTCAAACCTGCTATTCATTTTGTGTCATTTCAGGTTTTCTGTTTCTTCCTAGTTCAATCTTGGTAGGCTGTGTATGTCTGGGAATTTATCCCTTTCCTCTAGGTTTTCCAATTTGTTAGCATATGGTTGTTCATAATAGCCTCTAATGATCCTTTTTATTTCTTTAGTAACAGTTGTAATGTCTCATTTTTCATTTCTGATTGCATTTATTTAGGTCTCCTTTTTTGTTTTTGTTTGTTTGTTTGTTTGTTTGTTTTGGTTAGCCTCACTAGTGGTTTTTCAATTTTGTTTAACTTTTCAAAAAACCAACTTTTATCTTGTTGATTCTTTGCATTTCTATTTTGTCTCTGTTGCATTTGGTTCTGCTATGTTATTTATTATTTTTTCTTTCTACTAATTTTGTGTTTGGTTTGTTCTTGCTATTTGAGTTCCTTGAGGTTCATCATTAGGTTGTTTATTTGAAATCTTTCTACTTTCTTGGTGTAGGCATTTATTGCTATAAACTTTCCTTGTAGTACTGCTTTTGCTGTATCCCATAGATTTTGCATGATGTGTTTCCATTTTCTGTTTAAAAAAATTTTTTGATATCCATCTTAATTTCTTCATCGATCCAATGATCATTCAATAGCACGTTTAATGTCCATGTATTTGTACAGTTTCCAAATTTCTTCTTCTTATTGATTTCAAGTTTTATTCCATTGTGGTCTGAGAAGATACTTGATATGATTTTAATTTTTAAAATTTTGTTGAGCCTTGTTTTGTGTCCTAACATATGGTCTTTCCTGGAGAATGTTCCATGTGTTGATGAGATGATTGTATATTCTGCTGCCGCTGGATGAAATATTCTGAAAATATCTGTTAGGTCCATTTGGTCTAACGTGCAGCTTAAATCTGAGGTTTCTTTGTTGATTTTATGTCTAGATGAACTGTCCAATGCTGAGAGTAGGATATTGAAGTTCTCAACTATCATTGTATTGGACTCTATCTTTCCCTGTAGATTTAATAATATTTGCTATGTGTGTCTGGATGTGCTTGTGTTGGTTGCATGCATATTTAGAATTGTTATACTTTGTTGCAGAATTGATCCCTTTATTACCATATAATGACCTTCTTTGTCCTTTTTACAGTTTTTAACTTAAAGTCTGTTTTATCTGATGTAAGTTTAGCTACTCCTGGTTACTTTTGATTTCTGTTTGTGTGGTATATCTTTTTCAATCCCTTCACTTTCAGTCTGTGTGTGTCTTTACAAGTGAAGTGAGTTTCTTGTAGACGTTGTTGGGTCATTTTTTATCCATTAAGCCTCTCTCTATCTTTTAGGTAGGTAATTTAACCCATATTCAAAGTGATTATTGATAGGTGAAGACTTATTCCTGTCAATTTGTTCATTGTTTTCTGGTTATTTTGTATATCCTTTTGATATGGTTTGGCTGTGTCCCCACTCAGATCTCATCTTGAATTCCCATGTGTTGTGGGAGGGACCCAGTGGGAAGTAGTTGAATCACGGAGGCAGGTATTTCCCATGCTATTCTTTTGATAGTGAATAAGTCTCGTGAGATCTGATGGTTTTAAAAGGAGGAGTTTCCCTGCTCAAGCTCTCTCTTTGCCTGCTGCCATCCCTGTAAGATGTGACTTGCCTCTCCTTGACTTCTGCAATGATTTTGAAGCCTCCCCAGCAATGTAGAACCGTAAGTCCATTAAACCTCTTCCTTTTGTAAATTTCCCAGTCTTGAATGTGTCTTTATCAGCTGTGTGAAAATGGACTAATACAGTAAATTAGTACCAGAAGTGGGATGTTGCTAAAAGATACCTGAATATGTGGAAGTGACTTTGGAACTGGGAAACAGGCAGAGGTTGGAACAGTTTGGAGGGCTCAGAAGGAGACAGGAAAATGTGGGAAAATTTGGAAGAGATTTCCTAGAGACTTGCCCAAAATGCTGATGGTTATATGGACAATAAAGTCTAGGCCAAGGTTGTCTCAGATGGAAATGAGGAACTTGTCAGGAACTGGCACAAAGGTGACTCCTGTTATGTTTTAGCAAAGAGACTGGTGGCTTTTTGCCCCTGCTGTAGAGATTTGTGGAATTTTGAACTTGAGAGAGATGATTTAGGGTATCTGGTAGAAGAAATTTCTAAGCAGCAAAGCATTCAAGAGATGACTTGGGTGCTGTTAAAGGCCCTCAGTTTTATAAGGGAAGCAGAGCATGAAAGTTTGGAAAATTTGCAGCCTGAAAATGCAATTGAAAAGAAAATCCCATTTTCTCAAGAAAAATTCGATCTGGCTGCAGAAATTTGTTTACGTAAGGAGGAGTCAAATGTGAATCCCCAAGACAATGGGGAAAATGTCTCCATGGCATGTCATAGATCTTCATGGCAGCCCCTCCCATCAAAGGCCCAGAGGAAGAATAGATGGTTTTGTGGGCTGGACCCAGGGCCCCCCTGCTGTGAGCAGCCTAGGGTTCCTGAGTCCTAGCCACTCCAGCTGCAGCTAAAAGGAGCCAAGGTACAACATGGGCTGTGGCTTCAGAGGGTGCAAGCCCCAAGCCTTAGCGGCTTCCACATAGTGTTGAGCCTGTGGGTGCACAGAAGTCAAAAATTGAGGTTTGGGAACCACTGCCTAGATATCAGAAGATGTATGGAAATGCCTAGACGTCCAGGCAGGAGTTTGCTGCAGGGACAGGGCACTCATGGAGAACCTCTACTAGGGCAGTGCAGAAGGGAAATGTGGGGTCGGAGCCCCCACATAGAGTCCCTACTGCAGCGCCACCTAGTGGAGATGTGAGAAGAGGGCCACCATCCTCCAGACCGCAGAATGGTGGATTCACTGACAGCTTGCACTGTGTGCCTGGAAAAGCTGCAGACACTCAATGCCAACCCATGAAAGGAGGCAGGAGGGGGTTTATACCCTACAAAGCCACAGGAGTGGGGCTGTGGCCTTTTTTCTCCCAAGGCCATGGGAGCCCACCTCTTACATCAGCATGACCTGCATGTGAGACATGGAGTCAAAGAAGATCATTTTTGAGCTTTGAGATTTGACTGCCCTACTGGATTTTGGGCTTGCATGGGGCCTGTAGCCGCTTTGTTTTGGCAATTTTCTCCCATTTGGAATGACTGTGTTTACCCAATGCGTATACCCCCATTGTATCCAGGAAGTAACTAACTTGTTTTTGATTTTACATGCTCATAGGCAGAAGGGATTTGCCTTGTCTCACATGAGACTTTGGACTGTGGACTTTTGAGTTAATGCTGAACTTAGTTAAGAGTTTGGGGGACTGTTGGGAAGGCATGATTAGTTTTGAAATGTGAGGATATGAGATTAGGGAAGGGTCAGGGACAGAATGATATGGTTTGGTTGTGTCCCCACCCAAATCTCATCTTGAATTCCCACATGTTGTGGGAGGGACCTGGTGGGAAGCAATTGAGTCATGGGGGCAGGTCTTTCCCATGCTGTTCTCATGATAGTGAATACATCTCACAAGGTCTGATGGTTTTAAAGAGGGTAGTTTCCCTGCAGAAGCTCTCTCTTTGCCTGCTGCCATCCATGTGAGACATGACTTGCTTCTTCTTGCCTTCCAACTTGATTGTGAGGTTTCCTCAGCTATGTGGAAGTGTAAGTCCATTAAACCTCTTTATTTTGTAAATTGCCCAGTCTCAGTCAGGTATGTCTTTATCAGCAGTGTGAAAACAGACTAATACACCTTTGTTCTTTTTTTCTCTCATTATTTATGGTTGCAGTTCGGTGGTTTTCTGTAGTGGTGTTGTTTGAATCCTTTCTTCTTTGTGTGTCTGCTCTGCCAGTGAATTTTATACTTTCATGTATTTTCCTGATGGTAGATATTGTTCTCTTGCTTCCCAATGTAGGACTCCCTTAAGCATTTCTTCTAGGACCACAACAAACAAGACCCAAACAAACAGTCTTTTTCTTATCTGGGAAATACTCTTTTTCTCTTTTATTTATGTATTTCTTTTTTTAGCAATGGAGTCTCACTCTGTCACCCAGGCTGGAGTACAGTCGCATGATCATAGCTCACTGCAGCCTTGAACTCCTGGGCTCAAATAATCCTCCTGCCTCAGCCTTCTGAGTCTCTGGAATTGCAGATGTGAGCCACTGTGCCAGGCTCCTTCATTTGTGAAGGATATCTTTGCTGGGTATAGTATTTTTGGCTTACATTTTTTTTTTCTTTTTTTTACTTGTAGTATACATCCCCTTTTCTCCTAGCCTGCAAGGTTTCTGCTGAGAAATCCCGTTAGCCTGATGGAGATTCTAAGTGACTTCATGCTTTTCTCTTGCTGTTTTCAGCATTTTCTCTTTGTCTTTTGACAATTTTACCATAATGTGCCTTGGAGAAGATCTCTTTGAGTTGTATTTATTTGGTAATCTTTGAGCTTCCTGTATTTGGAAGCTTTCAGGAAGTTTTCAGTTATTATTTTATTAAATGGGTTTTCTATGCCTTTACCCATCTCGTCTCCATCCAGAACTCCCAGAATTTCAGTTTTTGGTCACATATGTGTCCCATATATCATGTAGCCTTCCTTCATTCTTTTTTCTTTCTTTTTGTCTGACTGGATTATTTTAAAAGACTAGGCTTCAGGTTCAGAAATTCTTTGTTTTGCTTGATCTAGTCTATTGTTAAAGCTGTCAATTATCTTTTGTATTTCTTTCAATGATTTATTCTTTTCCAGGATTTGTGTTTGGTTCTTTGTTATGCTGTCTATCTCTGTTGAATTTCTCATTCAGATCATGAATTGTTTTCCTGACTTTTTATATTCATTATCTGTGTTCTCTTGTATCTCCCTGACTTTCTTTAATAACATTATTTTGAATTTTTCTCAGTCATTTCATAGATTTTCTTTTCTTTGGAATCTGTTGCTGGAGAATTATTGTGCTTCTTTGGAGATGTTATGTTTCCTTTTTCATCTTTCTTGCATCCTTATGTGACTATCTGTGCCTTTGACATAACAGTCACTTCTTCCAATTTTATGGATTGGCTTTTATATGGGAAAACCTTTTCTTATAGCTGTAGCTACAGTATTCATTGGATATCACACTTTGGCTTTGATTCTGGGTGGGTACAGTGGCATAGTCTGCATATGATTTCTTCAGCTGTAATTGGCATGAGTGGTGTCTGTGAGTCATTCAGTGGCTTAGACTGCAGTTTTGTGTTTTTTTTTTTTTTTTTTTGTGTGTGGTTGTTGAGATGGAGTCTAGCTCTGTCACCAGGCTGGAGTTCAGTGACACAATCTCAGCTCACTGCAACCTCTGCCTCCTGGGTTCAAGTGATTCTCCTGCCTCAGCCTCCTGAGTAGCTGGGACTACAGGCATGTGCAACCATGCCCAGCTAATTTTTGTATTTTTAGTAGAGACGGGGTTTCACCATGTTGGCCAGGCTGGTCTCAAACTCCTGACCTCACGATCTACCCACCTCGGCCTCTCAAAGTGCTGGGATTACAGGCGTGTGCCACCACACCTGGCCAGACTGCAGTTGTTATTTGAGGCTGTGATGAGGCTTTGCTGAGGATGGGGATGCCAGGAAGTCTTGTCCTTCAGCATCAGTGGTAGTGGTGGTGGACCAGGTTTGTCAATACTAGGGACCATGGGCAGTGTATATGGGCACTGATGATAGCCTGTCTACGTGGGCCAATCCTTGGGCCCCCAGGTGGCTTCTTTGGTTGCTGGCAGTGGCAGCACTGGGCCAGGCGGGCAGGTGCGCCACTGGGCTCCTGGGTGGCGTGTGTGGCAGTCTGATCTATAGTTCTCCAGGTGATGTGTGCAGGTTCTGGTGGTGGGTAGACAGGTGTTTACTCAGGCCTCTCAGTAGTAAGTGTGAGCGCTAGCTCTGGAGGCAGGTGAGTCAATCTCTAGGCCCCCAGATGGTACACTCAGGCCTCAGCATATTCCTATGCATTTCTAGATAAAAGTATTTTTCAGAAAACCTGAGCATATGTCCTATTAATACAAACTGCCCTCATCAGCTCTGCATGAGAAGAAGGGGGAATTCCCTCAGTAGAACTGTCAGAATGGAATCACAGACTTGTTTTGAGCCAGTCACTGGTAAGGGGGATTAGGCTAAAATGATAAGCTCAGAATCTAAACCTTAGACTAGGGAATGGCAAACTTTTTCCATAAAGAGGCAAACGGTAATATTTTAGGCTTTTGGTCTAGATAACCTCTGTTGCAGTGACGCAGTGGTGCCATCATAGCCTAAAAGCATATGTAGACAAGGCATAAATGAATGGACCTGGGTTTATTCCAGTAAAACTTAATTTATACAAACAGTCAGAGGGCCAGATTTGGCCCTTGGTCTATAGTTTGCCAACCCTGTTTAGAACAGTCACGATTTATTCCCTGGGGCTGGGCCAACTTTTTCTTAAAAAAAAAAAAAAAAAGAAAGCAACCCACTGTCAGAATAAAATAGGGTTTCTATTTAAAAAGAAGAAGAGGCTGGGTGTGGTGGCTCATGCCTATAATCCTAGCACTTTGGGAGGATGAGGCAGGAGGACTGCTTGAGGCCAGGAGTTTGAAACCAACTTGGGCAATATAGTGAGACCCTGTCTCTGCAAATAATAAAAAAATTAGCCAGGCATGGTGGCACATGTCTGTAGTCTTAGCTAGACAGGAGGCTGAAGGGGAAGATCACTTGAGCCCAGGATTTTGAGGTTACAGTGGCAAACTGTTTGCCTCTGACTGTACCACTTCTACTCTAGCCTAGGCAAAGGGGGAGAACCCAGAAACAAACAAACAAACAAAAAGGTTGGTTGGGGAGGTTGGAGAAGAAAGTATTTCTGAATTTCTGGGTAGGTTACTGGTAGTGTCAGGCCAAACTAGCTCTACAGTCGTATTCATTATAAATAAAGGCAACTAGAAGATCTCCAATTAGCTATTAAAAATTGGTTAAAATCTACAGAGATAAAGGATGGTGACCCTTGTATCAGTTAGTTGTTGTCACAAAATGCTGCATAACAAGTCACTCCAAATCTCAGTGGCTTAATACAACAATTGTTTATTTTCATGGATCTATGGGTCAGCTGAGGATTGGTTAATCTGGCATGAGCGTGTCTGGGAAGCTTGACTTTGCTCTTGGTGTCTCTTATCTTCTGCTGGAAGCAGCAGTCTGGCCTGGGCTTGTTCTTTTGGTGATAGCAGGAGTGAGTGAGCACAAATGAATGCACACTTTCCAAGTTTTTGGTCATGTAGATTAATATTCCAGTGGCCAAAGCTAGACATGTGACTAAATGCAACATTAGGGGCTGGAGAAATATACTCCAATTCTTCAGTGGGAGGAGCTGCAGAGACAAATGGCAGAGTCTTGGTTACAGGGAGGACATGGATCCATTAATGTACCTTAATCAACGGCAACACTCTAACCACCAATACAATTAAATAAGTATTTGTTGAATGCACTTGTGCCTGAATCCTTCTGGCTGCAGCCCAGGCAATGGGGGCCTGACTGGGGAGGGACCATAGCAGGGACTCGATGTCCTGCAGGTCTGCATGTAATTGTGTACGGCCGACTCCACATTGGTCATGGCTGACTTGCTTTGTCCTGCGTCCCCAAGGGGCAACGATTGGCTGATTTTATTTCTGAACAATTTTGACAAAGTTGTTTTCAGGAGCCCAGGAAGCAAATCAGTTGTAGATTTGAATTTTGCAGGGGGTCAGAATTGTTGAATATATGTATAGTCTTTTACATGCTGATAATTATTTCCATACCACAAAGAAGGCCGGCTATTAGGAAGCTGCTGTTCAATTCCTTTGCCCCGTGAACTCATGAGCTGTGTCTATGTGGGGGGCACTCACTTGTTAGAGCTGTTTCCCTTCATAATAATATCAGCCAACATTCTAAATAAATGCAGGAAATTAAATAGTCTTTCCCAGACAGGTACTTTGCCCTTCTAAAGTGAATTACACATTGTAAAATAAAACACAGTCACTTTAAAAAAACAAAAGGTCTTTGGGTCAGGTTGGTCTGGCTTCAGCAAAGATAATCTTTGCCTCCAGAGTAGAAGATCCTTGGAATCCATGGTATTGCATATGGCAGCCCCACATCTTGTTTCCTTTTCTTTTTTTTTTTGTTTTTAACTAAAAGAATTGACAATTTTATTTTCACATTTCCCAATACAAATGAAAACTGCATCTTTTTTGGTCCCACTTCTCCCCTCCAAAACTATTCTCTTTGATAGGGCAAGGGGGCAAGTCTTCCTTATGCTGTTAAGAAAACCCAGCATCACAGCCCATGATCTCCTGGTGAAGGGAGCAGGTAAATATAAAGTCATATAGGCCGGGCGCAGCTGCTCGCGCCTGTAATCCCAGCACTTTAGGAGGCTGAGGCAAGCAGGTCATGAGGTCAGGAGATTGAGACCATCCTGGCCAACATGGTGAAACCCTGTCTCTACTAAAATAAAAAAAATTAGCCAGGCATGGTGCGCATGCCTGTAGTCCCATCTACTCAGGAAGCTAAGGCAGGGGAATCACTTGAATCCAGGAAGTGGAGGTTGCAGTGAGCTGAGATCGTGCCACTGCTCTCCAGCCTGGGCGACAGAGGAAGACTCTGTCTCAAAAACAAAACAAAAGAAAAAACACACAACAACAACAACAAAAAAACAACACTGATGTAATGAGGCCTCCCCTCTATCCTTATCTGTCTGGTCAAGTCATTCTGGGCTAACTGGGCACCATCATGAGATGGGCAAGAGGTCTCATCATTGGGCACCCAGGCATCATGGGCATGTGGCCTCCCATGGCAGCCTCATTCCAGGAGCAGGTCCCACTGGCATCATTCCAGGAGGAGGAGGGCCCATCATTGGCATCATGGGAGGGCCTCCCATATGGGGTGCTGCCATCATACTGAGATGTGTGAGAAGTGTCAGATACACATTAGATTGTGAGGCCTTAATATAAAAAGAAAACATTGTGTTAATGTTAAAATAGTTTATACATGTAGACCTGGTATTTTGGATAGATTTATTTAAATCTGTGATATTATTCCAATTACCTTCACTTCTTTTGTTTTACTTTTTAAAATATGGTTACTACAAAATGCAAAAGTAAATATGTGGCTTGCATCCTATTTCATCACATTTAGTGTGGGCCCTGAGGGTCTAGGGGAGTTATGAGCCTTAAGTTGAGGGTGACCCAGATCAACGTGAATTGCTCTGAAAGAGAAGCAAAGGGCATAAAGAGAACGTATAAATGGAGAGAGGGAGCTCAGTCTCGCAGGGTCAGGAAAGGCTTTCTTTCTTACAGTCTGGCATTTCTTCAAAAGCTTAAACACAGAGTTCTATGACCCAGCACTTCCACTCCAGTTTATGAAAGAAATGAAAATATATGTCTATGCAGAAACTTGTACACAAATGCTCATAGCAGCATTATTCACAATAACGCCAAAGTGAAAACAACACAAATGCTTGTCTACTGATGAGTGGAGAAGTAGAACATGGTTTGACTATGCAATGGAATATTATTCAGTCATCAAAAGGAATGAAGTACTAACACGTGCTACAACAAGGATGAACCATGAGAATATTATGCTAAGTGGAAGAAACCAGTCACTAAATGTCACATATTATAAGATTTCATTTATATGAAATGTCCAGCACACGCAAATCTATGAAGACAGAAACCCTGTCTCTACTAAAAATATAAAATTAGATGGGTGTGGTGGCACAAGCCTGTAATCCCAGCTACTTGGGAGGCAGGAGAATTGCTTGAACCCAGGAGGCAGAGGTTGCAGTGAGCCGAGATTGTGCCACTGCACTCCAGCCTGTGACAGAGACTCTATCTCAAAAAAAGTAGATTGTCAGGGCTTAGTGGGAGGAGGAAATGGCAGGTACCTGCTCATGGATACAGGGTTTCTTTTTGGGGTGATGAAAATGTTTTAAAATTGATCATAATGGTGGTTGCCGAGCTCTGTGAATGCACTGAAACCATTGATTTGTTCACTTTAAATGGGCAAATCATACAGTACCCGAATTATATTTTAATAGTTATATTAAAAAAGTAAAATCTTCCTTGAAGAGATGACACTTAAGGAGAGGCGTAGGGGGTGGGATGAGTTCACTAGGCAGAAAATGAGGAACAGCATTTCAGGGTGAGGAACAGCATAGTGAAGTCCCTGAGGTTGATAGGCATAGAGCAGATTTAAGGGACTTTTAATTTTTTTTTTTTTTTTGAGACGGAGTTTCGCTCTTGACGCCCAGGCTGGAGTGGAGTGGTGTGATCTTGGCTCACTGCAACTTCTGCCTCCTGAGTTCAAGCGATTTTCCTGTCTCAGTCTCCCGAGTAGCTGGGATTACAGGCGCCCTCCACCACACCTAGCTAATTTTTGGATATTTAGTAGAGATGGGGTTTCACCATGTTGACCAGGCTGGTCTTGAACTCCTGATCTCAGGTGATGCACCCGCCTCAGCTTCCCAAAGTGCTGGGATTACAGGCATGAGCCACTGCGCTCAGCCAGATTTAAGGTACTTTCAAGAAGTTTGTGTGGTTGAAGCCTGCAGGGCAAGCGAGAGAATCAGGAAATGAGGCTGGAGAAAGAGAGGGGCTAGGTCATGGAGGATCTCACATTAGGGTGTTGAAACTTCATAGGAGTGGTCCCACCTTGGGCATCCCACGTAACTACTCTGTGTCCCAGCTTCCCCACTGGTGAAATAAAGGGCTGATGTAGGGATGGACCGAGATAGTGTGTGCTCAGTAAAGGTGACCTTTTATCATTGTTTTGTTTTGTTTTGTTTTGAGACGGAGTCTCACTCTGTCGCCTAGGCTGGAGTGCAGTGGCGCGATCTCGGCTCACTGCAACCTCCGCCTCCCGGGTTCACGCCATTCTCCTGCCTCAGAATCCCGAGTAGCTGGGACTACAGGCGCCCGCCACCACGCCCGGCTAATTTTTTGGTATTTTTAGTAGAGACGGGCTTCACCATGTTAGCGAGAATGGTCTGGATCTCCTAACGTCGTGATCCACCCGCCTCGGCCTCCCAAAGTGCTGGGATTACGGGCATGTGCCACTGCGCCTGGCCAAGCTTTTATCATTGTTAACCCACAGAGCAGTGGGAGCCATTGAAAGTGAGTGATCTGTTTAGATGCACCTTCTGAAGTGATTGCTTTGGTCCCTGTGAGGAGTGCAGAATGTCACAGGGCCAGGGGAAAACAGAGGCCAGTCAGGAGGCATTTGCAGTCAGACAGCTGGAGGTGATGGTGGCTTGGTTTATGGTGGTGTCAGGAGAGTGGCTGAGCAGTGAACGGATCTGAGAAAGATTTAGGAGGTAAAACCCACGTGACTTGGTCACTGAATGTGGGCTGGGTGGGCTGGAGGGAAGGTAAGAAAGAATGAGAAGAAAAACATACGCAGGTGGGCCCTCCAGCCTAAGGTTACTTGAGGTCCTTTGTGAAGAGGAATGTTTGTGTTTATGATGAAGATGTCTAGACTTTGAAAGGCCATTTGCAGTACTTTTTTTTTTTTTTTTTTTTACCAGCCAACAACTCCTCCTTCCCTATGCCCTAAACATATGAATTTTTTTTGCCCTAATTTATCACAGAGAGATGGACGTTCATTTGCTTTAATGAGAAATGCGGAATGCCACTAAGAAAGCATATTAAATTAATCTAGCTTGTTGTGAGGGAGTTAAATCTGTTTAGATGTGCACCAGTGTGACTATAATAGTTTGGTCTCAACCCATTTCTGGCCTGCGGCTGCAGGAGGTTGACTCCCAGCTTGCTTTCATTTGAAAGATCCCAGCAACAAACACATTTGGCATTTCCAGCCAAACCCACTTTGTGCAGCGAAGGAAAAGTTGAGGCGTGCCTCTGTTGTTTTCCCCCAAATCATTAGGCAGAAATGTGGCTGGGAGCTTCATTGCTGATTTTTTCAGTTTTAATATTGCTGTGGAAAGCCTGTACCAACACTCAGCCATGTTATTCATCCACAGCTCCAGTCTGGGCTGTGATTTGTTTTTCCTTTGAGTGACACAACCTTATTTTCCATTAAGACTCAATGCAAATAGACACTCATGCAACATCACCATCACTCCCCCTGCTTGGCAGAGGGAAGTCAATGGAGTGATTCTAGTTTGGTGTTCATATCGGAGGGTTTTATTTGTTTATTAATTTTGAGACGGAATCTGTCTCTGTCACTAGGCTGGAGTGCAGTGGCGCGATCTCGACTCACTGCAACTTCTGACTCCCTGGTTCAAGCGATTCTCCTGCCTCAGCCTCCTGAGTAGCTGGGCTTACAGGCATGTGATACCATGCCCGGCTAATTTTTTGTATTTTTAGTGGAGACGGAGTTTCACCGTGTTAGCCAGGTTGGTCTTGATCTCCTGACCTCGTGATCCGTCCACCTCGGCCTCCCAAAGTGCTAGGATTACAGGTGTGAGCCACTGCGCCTGGCCTGGAGTCGTTTTTAAAAACACATTTCTCTCAAATTAACTCCGGGGTGTCCCACTGTGACTTGGGCAAAGGTTTGGATTTTCTGGAGGTGGAAAGTCAAACTTCAAATAGAATTTGGAGGCTGGACACTGTGGCTCATGCCTGTAATCCCAGTACTTTGGGAGGCTGAGGTGGGTGGATCATTTGAGGCCAGAAATTTGAGACCAATCTGGGCAACATGACGAGACCGTGTTTCTACTAAAAATATAAAAATTAGCTAGGCGTGGTGGTACATGCCTGTAATCCCAGCCACTTAGGAGGCTGAGGCAGGAATTATCGCTTGAACCTGGGAGGCAGAGGTGTCCTGTGTCCACACCCCATGAGGTGTATCAGCTGACTGAAGATAAAATCGGTCACGCTGTGTTGAGATTGGGGTTGCTGTTATCATACCTCATCCCCACCCCTGCTAGGCATCCACAAACAGTCATCTTCAATGAGACATCCCTCCTGCCCCTGGCTGCCTTATTTCATCTGCACCCAACCATATCCATTGCTTGTCAGTGGGTCTCAACCTTGGCTGCACCTTGGAATCTCCTGGGGAGATGAGACAATACCAAGGCTCTCTCTCACTCAGCATGATGTTTCCAAGGTCCATCCACATGTAGTAGGCACCAATATTTCCACTGTATGGATACAGCACATTTTGTTTATTCATTCATCAACCAAATTGCCAGCTTGGTTGTTGTTACCTTTTGCTTATTATATATATTACATGATTCCATTTATGTGAAAGGTCCAGAATAGTCAAATCTATAGAGGCAGAAAGCAGGTAAGTGGTTGCCAGGAGCTGGGGGAAAGGGGAGGGGATGGAGAGTGCTTGATGGATACAGGGTTATTTTTTGGGGGGGCAGAGGGTGTTAATGAAAATGTTTTGGAACTAGACAGAGATGATGATTGCTTAACGTTGTGAATGTATTTAATGATACTGAAGTGTATGGTTTCATACAGGGACTTGTATGTTATGTGAATTTTGCCTCATTAAAAAAATACTGCTAGGAGCAATGGCTCATGCCTGTAATCCCAGCACTTGGGAGGCCAAGGCGGGAGGATCACGTGAGGCTAGGAGTTTGAGACCTGCCTGGCCAACATGGTGAAACCCTATCTCTATTAAAAATACAAAAATTAGCCAGGCGTGGAGGTGCATGCCTATAATCCCAGCTACTCGGAAGGCTGAGGTAGGAAAATGCGTTGAACCCAGGAGGCAGAGTTTGCAGTGAGCTGAGATCGCACCACTGCATTCCAGCCTGCATGACAAGATTCCATCTCAAAAACACACACACACACACACACACACACACACACAAAATGCTGATGCCCATGTTTCATCCCCAGGAGATTCTGTAATAATTGATCTGGGATGCAGAGCCTGGGCACTGGGTTTTTAAAATCTCCCGAGCTGATTCTGACGTGCAGCTGTGGTTGAGAATCTCCTTCTGGAATGAACTTGTTCATGTTTTACTTGTATTGTTTTCTAGCCTGGCTTTGCCTTTCTGTTTCCCTTCACATCTTTGGGGGTAATTTTTATAATGCAGTCTAACAACCAGCTGCCTCAAAATGCACTGGGATCCCTCGTAACCAGGTAGCTCCGCATCTCCAACTCCGACCTGCCAAGTCGGAATCTTGTGGGTGGGGCCAAGGACTGTACATATTGAAACAGGCAGTGACCTGGGAACTATTTCTGAACACCCCTAGGTTTCCCCTGTGTTTGCCCTTTCCTTTCACATTTGGACCCCTTTGTGTGCTGACCACTGGGCCGTCGCGCATGGACATAGCATAAAAAAGACAGGCCAGGTGCAGTGGCTCACGCCTGTAATCCCAGCACTTTGGGAGGCTGAGGTAGGCAGATCACTTGAGGCCAGGAGTTCAAGATCTGCCTGGCCAACATGACAAAACCCCATCTCTACCAAAAATATGAAATTAGCTGGGTGTGGTGATGCACGCCTTTGATCCCAGCTACTCAGGAGGCTGAGGCTGGAGAATCCCTTGAGCCCAGGAGGGAGAGACTGCAGTGAGCCGAGATCACACCATTGCACTCCAGCCTGGGTGACAGAGTGAGACTCTTAAAAAAAAAAAAAAAGACAGAGATGGTCCTTCCTTTATGGAGCTCTCAGTAAAACAAGAAAGTTCACGATGTCCTGGCATTTGTCAGAAATACATTTGGTATATGTAGCTGGGGTCACATGCTTGACATGCCTATTGAAAGCTTCTGGGTAGGAAGAGAACAATCATCACAGCATCACAGCCTGGCATAACTGTCTCCCAGGACAGGTCTCCCTGGGGAGACTGAGACCACAACTCTGAAATCAGAGCTCAAATCCAGGTTCTACATTTCCCTCAGAAATGTACATGATGTAAGACAGTTTTTATATTAGTTATCTGTTGCTGTGCAACAATATTACTGCAAACTTTGTGGCTTGAGACAGCACACAGTTATCACTGCGTGGTTTCTGTGGGTCAGGAAACCAGGCGTGACTCAGCTGGGTTCAGTGCAAGGCTGCAGCCATAGTGTCAGCCAGGGCTCGGTTCTCATCTGGAGGCTTGACTGGTGATTGATCTGCTTCCCGGCTCATCTGGTTGTTGGCAGAATTCAGTTCCTTGCAGGTTGACTCAGGGCCCCAGTTTCTTGTTTCCCTCAGCTTCTTGCCACGTGGGCCTCTCCATCTGGCCACTCATGACATGGCAGCTCACATCTTCAAAGCCAGCAAGACAGCCTCCTAGCAAGACAACTTCACATCCTATCTAACATAATCACTACATCCCATCACCTCTGCCATATTCTCTTGGTTATAAGAAAGTCATAGGTCCCTTTGTCAGATGAGTAGATTGCAAAAATTTTCTCCCATTCTGTAGGTTGCCTGTTCACTCTGATGGTAGTTTCTTTTGCTGTGCAGAAGCTCTTGAGTTTAATTAGATCCCATTAGTCAATTTTTGCTTTTGTTGCCATTGCTTTTGGTGTTTTAGACATGAAGTCCTTGCCCATGCCTATGCCCTGAATTGTATTGTCTAGGTTTTCTTCTAAGGTTTTTATGGTTTTATGTCTAAAATTTAAATCTTTAATCCACCTTGAATTAACTTTAGTATAAGATGTAAGGAAGGGATCCAGTTTCAGCTTTCTCCATATGGCTAGCCAGTTTTCCCAGCACCATTTATTAAATAGGGAATCCTTTCCCCATTGCTTGTTTTTCTCAGGTTTGTCAAAGATCAGATAGTTGTAGATGTGTGGCATTATTTCTGAGGGCTCTGTTCTGTTCCATTGGTCTATATCTCTGTTTTGGTACGAGTACCATGCTGTTTTGGTTACTGTAGCCTTGTAGTATAGTTTGAAGTCAGGTAGCATGATGCCTCCAGCTTTGTTCTTTTGGCTTAGGATTGCCTTGGCGATGCGGGCTCTTTTTTGGTTCCATATGAACTTTAAAGCCGTTTTTTCCAATTCTGTGAAGAAAGTCATTGGTAAATTGATGGGGATGGCATTAAATCTATAAATTACCTTGGGCAGTATGGCCATTTTCATGATATTGATTCCTCCTACCCATGAGCATGGAATGTTCTTCCATTTGTTTGTATCCTCTTTTATTTCATTGAGCAGTGGTTTGTAGTTCTCCTTGAAGAGGTCCTTCATGTCCCTTATAAGTTGGATTCCTAGGTATTTTATTCTCTTTGAAGCAATTGTGAATGGAAGTTCACTCATGATTTAGCTCTCTGTCTGTTATTGGTGTATAAGAATGCTTGTGATTTTTGTACATTGATTTTGTATCTGAGATATTACTGAATTTTGGTATTTTTAGTAGAGTTGGGGTTTGCTGAATGCAGCCCCCAGTCACATACTCCCTGCTTGGTCAATCGATCACAACCCTCTTATGATCACGACCCTCTCACACGGACCCCCTTAGAGTTGTGAGCCCTTAAAAGGGACAGGAATTTCTCACTTGGGGAGCTGGGTTGTTAGAGACGTGTGCCACCATGCCCAGCTAATTTTTGTATTTTTAGTAGAGATGGGGTTTCACCATGTTGGTTGCCCAGCATAGTCTCGATCTCTTGACCTCGTGATCTGCCCAACTCGGCCTCCCAAAGTGCTGGGATTACAGGCGTGAGCCACTGCACCCAGCCCAGAGAAGGCTTTTCATACTTGCTTCACAGGCTCCTGCATCCTACCGCAGCACCAGGTGCTCACCACCTGTGGGCTGTGCTCATCTGTGATCATCTCTCCTCAGGCCTGCTGTTCCTTGAGAAAGGAAGTTGTAATGGGCAGAATTCTAGGACAGCCCCTAAGAGACCCACTCCCTTATATCTGCTCCCTGTATCATCTCTTCTTCTTGAGTGTGTCCAGAGCTTGTGATTTGGCCAAGGGGAAGGAATTTTGCAAATGTGATTATGGTCACACTTGCTTTGTTAAGCACATTTGCTCAGCTGACTTTGAGTTCATCCAAAGCAGGATGATCTTAGGTGGGCCAGACCTAATCATATGAGCCTTTTAAAGGTGAGGTTTCAGAGATTCAACCCTTAGCCTCCAAGGAGACACAAATGGCCATGCTGTGAGCTGTCTTTGGAGGTGGCAGCTCTAGGTGCTGAGGGCCTTCGTTCAACAATTGCAAGAAATTGAATTCAGTCCACAAACTGAATAAGCTTGGAAGAGGACCCTGAGCATCTGATGAGAGCCCAGCTCCAGCTGACACTCTGGTTGCAGTATTGTGACCCTGAATAGAAGGCCCAGTTAAACCCTGCCCAGACCCTTGGCTCATGAAAAGAGATAATAACTGGGTGGTGTTTAAGCTGCTCAGTTTGCACTGGTAAATCCACCAACAGGAAAGTAATATAGAAGTTAAGTGGGCCGGGCATGGTGGCTCATGCCTGTAATCCCAACACCTTGGGAGGCTAAGGTAGGTGGATCACAAGGTCAAGAGATCGAGACCATCCTGGCCAACATGGTGAAACCCCACCTCTACTAAAAATACAAAAATTAGCCAGGTGTGGTGGCACACACCTGTAGTCCCAGCTACTCAGGAGGCTGAGGCAGGAGAATCACCTGAACCCAGGGGGTGGAGGTTGCAGTGACCCGGGACCATGCCACTGCACTCCAACCTGGTCAACAGGGAGAGACTCCATCTCAAAAAAAAAAAAAAAATGTTAAACGAATACTTTTGAGCATTGATGGAAGTTGCTTTCATTCCCTCTTACTTAATCATCTTTATCTTAGCCCTGAAAGAGGGATGCTTTAACCCCATTTGTAACAAGTGAGTCTGAGGCCCAGGAAAGTGATAGAATTTAGCAAAGTCCACCTTGCTACCTGGTGGCTGCAGCTAGAAC
The DNA here is from genome assembly GCF_000001405.40 of Homo sapiens. Classification (NCBI taxonomy): domain Eukaryota; kingdom Metazoa; phylum Chordata; class Mammalia; order Primates; family Hominidae; genus Homo; species Homo sapiens. The sequence continues at coordinate 125,825,167 of NC_000003.12, forward strand.
TTAACCCCAGGTCCATATACCTAAAGTCATTACAACTTCCACTAAAATTTTGCCCCTCTCTCCATGCCTTCCTGTTTAGAAGCCTGTTCCTTCAGGGATAGATCCCAACCCAGTGTTACAAGGTACTGAATTCTGATTTTCACAAAATATAGTAACTCCACCCCAAAATTGATAATTGTATTTTTGAGCCAGGCATGGTGGTTCATGCCTGTAATCCCAAAACTTTGGGAGGCTGAGGTGGGTGGATCATGAAGTCAAGAGATTGAGAGCATCCTGGACAACATGGTGAAACCCCGTTTCTACTAAAAATACAAAAATTAGCTGGGAGTGGTGGCATCTGTAATCTCAGCTACTCAGGAGGCTGAGGCAGGAGAATCGCTTGAACCCAGGAGGCAGAGGTTGCAGTGAGTCGAGATTGCACCACTGCACTCCAGCCTGGCAACAGAGCAAGACTCCATCTTAAAAAAAAAAAAAAAAAAAACAACTATTTTTGAGTCCTTATGTGTCAACCACTGGGCTATCCCAACACCAATAGATATTATGATTATGATTTTCTTTTCCATTTTATTGATGTGGAAACCAACACATAGAAAGGTAAAGGAACTTGCCAAAGGTGATGGTCACACAGCCGAAGAACTGTAGAAGTAGCACAGGAATCCCAGCAAACTCACAGCCAAGCTCTACTTTTCACCTTCACGTCATACTGTCCTCAGACTAAAACCGTAACTCTGACGTTCCCAATCAAAAATCATACTCAAGGCCGGGTGCGGTGGCTCACGCCTGTCATCTCAGCACTTTGGGAGGCCAAGGCAGGTGGATAACCTGAGGTCAGGAGTTCCAGACCAGCCAAGCCAACATGGTGAAACCCCATCTCTACTAAAAATACAAAACTTAGCCAGGTGCAGTGGTGGGTGTCTGTAATCCCAGCACTTTGGGAGGCTGAGGCATGAAAATCACTTGAACCCAGGAGGCAGAAGTTGCAGTGATCCATGATCATGCCACTGCACACCAGTCTGGGCAAGAGAGTGAGACTCTGTCTCAAAAGAAAAAAAAAACTGTGCTTAATAATAGCTTAGAAGTGCACATATCTTCTGTGAAGGTTGATGGACTACAATTAGCTTCAAAACACAAATAAGTAACTGTGTTTAAATGAGGCCTTCTGTGTAATAGCTAGGGAAAATCAATGTAGCTATTCATATTTTGGTTCCCCTTCCAGGCACAGAGAAGTTGCCCATGACTCTGTGATCCGTTTTGTCCGATGAACCATGAGCAGGAGCAACTTGAGTCACCTCCAGGTGGAAGTGTTAAGAGGCTCTGTGATCCAGCACATTCCCTTTCCCCTGAAGTGGTGATCAAGGACACATGCAGAGATGGGGCTTTTGTCAGCCTGGATCCCTGAGTGAACACAATGAACAGACCACCCCACAATGCCCTAACACAGCCCAGACATGCAACATGACCAAGAATAAGCCTCATTGTGGCCAGACATGGTGGCTCACACCTGTCATCCCAGCACTTTGGGAGGCCAAGGCAGGTGGATCATTTGAGGTCAGGAGTTCAAGACCAGCCTGGCTAACATGGTGAAATCCTGTCTCTACTAAGTAAAAAAATTAGCCAGAC